>NC_000014.9:78551106-78702622 GCF_000001405.40 Homo sapiens
ATAGAAGAGCATGCATATGAATAGCATTTAATGCTCAGTTAATGAGGCTCTTATCAAAGTGACAGAGGGCCTCCATGTAATCAGAGAAGGGTCCACTTAAGGCTCTATTGGCATTTGCTGAAGGATCAAGACTTGCTGTATTCCTATCTATGAATAGACCTATGGAATTAAAACCCAGTACAAGCATTTTTTTTTTCTACTTATATCTATGTATGCTCTTTCTCTCTTGCCTTCTTGATAATTCAGAAGCAGAACTTTGTCTTATTACTGACTTCCAGAAGAAATTTCACAACTCTCATAAAGTTTGTGATTTTTGTAGACTATACTGAACATTTAGTGACTCCCAGGGAGGATCATTTTAATCAGCATACAATAGTTTGCTCTTCCTCTTCCCTTCCATTTTCTTCTTTCCCTTTCTCCCCCCTTCTCTAGTTTTTTAATCTCACCTCCTCTCCCTGCCCTTTTCTATCCTCCTCCCCTCTCATTTCCCTTCCTTTATTTCTTCTCTCATTTCTACTCTTTCCCCCTTTCTCCTTCCTTCTTTCCTGCCCTCCTCCCCTCCCTCCTCACCTCCTCCCCTTTCTCCTTTTCCCATCCCTCCTTCCCTCCTTCCACTTCTCTCTCCTCTTTCATCTCCCTTTCTATCCTCCCTCTTCTCTCCCTTCCCCACTCTACTTCCCCCCATTCCTCCCTGGAGTTCTCCCTTTTTACTTTTCTTCAAGTGGGCTTATCAAAGTATTTTTTTTAAATAAAATAAAGGCAAGTCTTTCTGTAAGAAAAAAAGTCAGAAAAACATTTTCTTCTCATTATAGGACCAAAAGTGCCCTTAGAGATCAAGTAGCCCAGTGATCCCCAGACTTTGCTTGTTGGTCGCGATACCCTGGGCAGCATTTGAAAGCCAGGCCCTGCCTCCAGTGGTGGTTCTGAATCAAAAGATCAGTGTAGAGGCTTGGAGTGGCATTTGTGTGGGGTGTGCCAGAATATATTTATTTTAATTCAAGAAGATTTGGATTTCAGTCCTAAGTCTGTCACTTGCTAATGGAACCATCTTGGCTGTGTGCTATTAAAACTTCCAGAGCCTCAGTAACATTTGTAAGAATGTGGAAAATAATATCTTCCTCAAATAACAAGCAGTGATCAGCAGATTGGCTGGCACATAGTAGGTGTTAAAAATTGTTTCTTTTCTTCCTTCCTTTTGAGTATGGTACAGAATCCTGGTTATCTCTCTCAACACACAGGATGGTGATAAAGGAAAGCCTGAGTATTTCTGTGCCTTGTAGCACATCTTAGAAAGGGAGAAGGGCTATTCAGCAGCATTGTTCATGCTCAGGCCCAGGCCCAGCTGCCTCTAACTGTGGTCATGAGAAGTCTCAGACACTGGCATGAAGTCAGCAAATAAAAATAAACAACATAGCCAAGTATGATGGTGCACGCCTGTAGCCCCAGCTACTCAGGAGGCTGAAGCAGGAGGATTGCTGGAGCCCAGGAGTTTGAGGCTGCAGTGACCTGTGATCACACCAGTGCACTCCAGTATGGGCAACAGGGAAAAATCTCTGTCTCCAATAAATAAATAAATAAATAAGTAGTAATTAGAAATAAATAAACAACATTTTTGAGGAGAAGGGATGAAGTTGATTAATGGGTACAAATACACCGTTTGATGGAATAAGACCTAGTGTTAGATCAGTAAGGTGACTATAGCCTATAATAATCTATTGTACCCTTCAAAATAGCTAGAAGAGAATAATTTGAATGTTTCTAGCATTAAGAAAATATTAAGATAAACATTTAAGTGATGGATATCCTAAGTATACTGATTTGACCTTTATAAATTATATCAATGTATTAAATTATCACATATATCTTGAAACTATGTACATCTATTATACATCAATAAAAAATAATTTAAAACCCCATTTATTGTGAATTCACTTTCCCAGGACTATTTTAATTAATCATCATAACAACCTTATGAAGTAAATGCTATGATTATCTTTAACCACATTGACTTGGTAAAATGTCTGTAGGCAGAGCTTTTTTATTTTTTTGAATTTTGGCTACTATTTGCATGTCTGTATCATTTACGCCGTCCTTTGTCTGTGTTTCTTAGATCCCAAATAAGTACTGAGGGGTCCTATATTCATTTCAACCATACTGTATTGAGTACCTAATATAAAAAATCCAGCCTCTAGTTTGAGGAGCTGAAAGAATGAACCCTATGCAGTCCTGATTGTCTGGGCTTATTTTCACTTGCTCTGTGAAGCACCTGAGCCCTTGTTGGTGAACCCTGCTACAGTCCCCACTGAGTTTAAGACCCACTCTTTTCAAGGGTCCCCATGTTAGGTTTGCCTCCACACCTTAGCTTCCAAAGCTTTGTTCCCCCCTGCCAATGGGGCACTCTAGCCCCATCCACCCATCCCCTCTCAGAGTTGTAGAAAAGGCTTCTATCAGCAAGAATCCAGAGAGGTTATTCATACATGGGACACTTGATAGTGGTTCTTATTCTTTGAGGAGGAGGAATACTTCTGATTTAATGGTAACGAAGTTCTAATTTTGGTAAGTCCGGGGATCTGAGGCTAGAGCTGCTTTGTCACAAGTCTTGTTTGCATATGCTGTGTATTTCTACCCATACCCTCATCCAACTTATCTAAATCTTGCTCCTTTTTTTCCATTCTTGCTGATTTAATTTTATCCCTCAACTCATGGTTCCAAATAATCCCCTGTGTTAGTTGTGCCTACAGCAACTTGTTTAACTCTCTCTACCAGGCAATAAGGTGGAGGGGCAGGGGAAGGATAAATGCAGCCTACTTGTGATTTATCACAGTTGGAAAGAAAAGGGAAAAGACATGCATAACACTTTTTAAAAAAGAACCAGAGAGGCAGAGAGAGAAGAGTGTGTGGAGGGAGATGAAGGGTGCACTCTGATGGGAACAGATGGCCCAAAAGGTAAGTGGGTGGCAGAGAGTAAAAATAACCAGGGAGTGACCAAGCCTTCATTTTCTTTGAAACACTCACACTTTAGGGATATATTGAAACTGCTAATTTTGTTGGCACTTTGACACCTCCTCCTAATTAATGAGAAATTTATTAGGAGGATGACTGAGGTGAGCAAGCTGCTTACAAAGAGAGAAGGGAGAGAATACATTGAACCTATTCAGCTTGGCGGTCACGACCAAGCGAGGTGCCATTGGATATGTGGTTACTTGTGGGTGAGCTCAAGTAGAAGCCTCGGGCTGGGCTCCTCTCCTGGGGTGGAACCCTTCTGCTGGGCTCCTTTCCTCCTGGCTCCCTGTACTCACTGCTGCTCTCTGGTTTACCAGCATAGAGGCACAACCCCAAAACAGGCTTCGTGGGGACCAAATTGGCTTTTGGATCTCAAGTGTGTCTCTGAGTCACTCCAGTGAACACGTTATAGGTCACTCTGTGCAGGTTAGTGGCCCGAAAATCTGCCCTTCAAAGGAAAAGAAAAGTGAAATTCTCATGACTTTTACACTTTTTGTCAAATCTTCTGCATAGAGACCTTCTGAGTTGGCTCTACCTAGTCTGTGATTCCAAATCTCAAGCACCACCTGCAATTGTCCATATTTTTCACCCACAGGATGCTCATGTTACCAGGAACTTAAAAGAGTAAACGTGGTTGCTGACATTTTAGCGTTCGTGGGCCAGTTTTCTGAGATCAACACTAGGCAAGGTACTGGGGAGTGTCTTCTAACACTTTTCAGACTTTGAACAGCTAACTCCATTTTCTGGGAGAGCAGGGTTACTTGACAGGTATCTAAATCCTCTGTCCTAGCCATCCACCAAGCCACCCATTTGCCCTTCCAAATCCCTTATGCAGTTCATTATCTGTGCAACATAGAACAGTCGAGAGCATGGGCTCTGGAGGCCCATTGGGAGCTTATTCACTCCTCTGCTCTGCCATTCATCAGCTTGAGTTGTCTTAGGCAAGTCACATACCATCCTCTGTGTCTCTATTTCTCCCTCTGTAAAATGAGATCACTAATGGCATTCACTAACGGATGGTTGTGAGAGTTAATGAGGTAACAGTTATAAAGAGGTTAGTACTGTGCTTGGTATAAACTAAGCACAAAATAAATAGCACTATGACATTTAACACTATAACATTTAACTTTCAAAATGATTTCATATGCAATTTTGTGGCAGTGTCTTCATACATTGGGTAGTACAGAGTTTTAAAGATTATCCTTTAATAAATGGAAAAATTGAGTCATGTAATGGATTAGAGACTTTCCCAAGGTTTACAACTACAGAGGAATAGAATTGGCTCTAGAGCTAAGTCTTCTCATTCTAGTTTAATTGTTTGTTTATTTGTTTCTATGCAAACATGTTCATACTCTTCCTTAGCATGTTTCATCCTATCTCTACTAGTGCAACAAGATGCTGAGAAGAGGGAAGAATGCCACAAAACTGCATACACCAAAGATGTGTGGCTCAAAGGATACAACTTTTGACTTGAACAGTCACCAGGCCTTGTGATCTTGAACAAATCATTCTGCCTGTCTAAACATTAATTAATTCCTCAACTTTTAAATGGAATATGATGACTATTTCCCTTTATATGTGTATCTTAGATGTAGGCATGGAGCTAAAATAGAAACTCAAAATGAAGTAACAGTAAGGGCTGGCAGTGGAATATTATTGATCCCAGAGGAAAATAAAAATTTTATTTCCAACGTTGTGCCAAGATGGTGGCAAGGGTGGGGAAACCATGTGTCCTAGAAGAAGAAAACAGAAGAGGTTAAGTTACCTCTTTATTCTTTTGTTTTTCAGATTCAAAGGTTGTCTTTTTAACAAAATGAATAATGCAGGTGGTGATTATGGAAAGATGTTAAATTTTGATGATGTTGAAATGTGAGATTGGTATCCTGTGTGTGAGGAGCTCTTGTCTCCTTTTTCAAAGGCAAGGTTCCTATGTGTGCACTTTCACAGACCAGCCCTGCCCCTGTTGCCTGGAATCTCCCTTCTAGCACAGGCTGCTGCTGAAGAGGTGGTTCAGACCATTTTCCAAGGCAAATCCAAAGAAAATAATGGTTTCCATTGGTTCTCCTTATTCTTCAGCCTTCCCAGCTTCCCCCACCCCTACTCCAGTCTTCATGACATCACTAATTCATACATCTATTATGCAACTCATGCCAAGAGGCTGGTTAAATTGGAAATTGCTCTTTGTTAAATAATACTGGTATAGATGGCATTTCCATTTTAATCCAAAGCTCTTGAGATTCCAAAATCCTTCAAAACTCAACTAAATTTCAAAAGGTGTAAATCAAGCACTGCATTTTACTGACTCTAAAGGAAACGTTTATGTGAGAGTAGACCTCCCTGGAGCTTCTTAAACTAGCCAATGTTAATCTTGGTGCTGAGACATATTGATGGTATGTCATATGTAATAGGTTACCAAATAATAATGCATATACTAAAATTATGCTAAAGATTTACTAAAAATTTAAATTAAGGCAGATCAGGCTTATGGCTAAAATAACATCATTTCCATGCACCTGCATTCTGACATGCTCTCTGGAGATTCTTTGCTATGGGAGTGTGCCTTGTGTATAAATAGCATTTATGATGTTGGTTGCACTAGAAAAAGGAAAGTTATCAACTTTAAGCTCCACTGAATTAACAAATACCTGATCTCCATTTTTGTAGACCATCAAGAAATAGCATTGTGATCATTGGGCTTCTCCCTAGCAGTTGATGGTAAAAAAAAAATACATCTAGGAGACCTCTCCTCTCCTCTCTTCTCCTCTCCTCTCCCCTCTTCTCCTCTCCTCTCCCCTCCCCCTCCCCCTTCCCCTCCTCCTCCCCTGCCTGTCCCCTCCTTCTCCCCTCCCCCTCCCCTCCCCTCCCTCCCTTCCCTTCTCCCTTCCCTTCTCTCTTCTCTTCCCTCTCTCCTCCCCTCCCCTTCCCTCTCCTCCCCTCTCCGCTCCCTCTTCTCTTTTCTGAGACCGGGACTTGCTCTGCCACCCAGGCTGCAGTGCATGATCATGGCTGAATGTAGCCTTAACTTCCCAGGCTCAAGAAATCTTCCCACCTCAGCTTCCTGAGTAGCTAGGACCACAGGTGAAAATGATCACACCTGGCTATATTTTTTTCTATTTTTTTTTTTTTGTAGAGATGCAGTCTCCCCATGTTGCTCAGGCTGGTCTCGAACTCCTGGCTCAAGCAATCTTCCTGCCTTGGCCTCTCAAAGTACTGGGATCACAGGTTCAAGCCACTGTGCCTGGCTGAGATCTCTATCTTTAATATTCCTCTTCCCTCCTGCTTAATTGAATGAGGAAGGGGCAGTGTCATACAATGGAAGGAGCATAGTAACTCTAACATTAATAGGTTGTGTGGCCTTGAACAATTCACTCAACTGCTCTGAACTTTAGTGTGTCATCCATAAAATGGAGCTAACAGTGACTAGTTTGTTTTGAGAATGAGAACCAAGATGCGTAAAGTTCCTGACACAAAGCCAGGTGCCTAGTGGCCTTTAGTTCTTATGACAGCTGCAGGACTACCTTTGTCACTGTGCTTTTACGTCTCCTCCAGTGCCTGGTAAGAAGAGTTTATGTATATTTCACCTGTGTGAGTACAAGGCCCAACTTCTAACTGTTAATAAGAGACAACTTTGCCTCCCTCACAGCTGGTACTTAAAGCGTCAAAGAATATCTACACTCCAGATACTTGTTAAGATAATTCAGTCAGAATCGACTGCAATCTAGCACCTGCCAGAGGCTTGCTGAAGGCATCTGTTACTTATTTATTGAGCACATGATTATATAACTCTTGTTTACTGTACACCCAGCACTGTTCTAGGAGTCTTAAGAATATTAACTTATTTAATTCTCACAACAAACCTGTGATATAGGTACTATCATCCCCATTTTACAGTTGAGAGAACTGAGGCACAGAGAGGGTAAGTAACTTCCCCAAGATGACAGAGCTAGTAAGTGGTAGAGCAGCATTTGAACCTAGATGGTTTGGCTCCAGAGTTTGGGACCTTCACAACTATACTATGTAAGAAAGACTGGCTAATCGTTATGTTCACCAGCCATTCTTCCAGATTCATCCAGTTCTTTCTCTGAGCTTAGTGAAATTATCAGAAAACAAGAGACCCAAACATGTGACTTCAGCACTCCCTTCCCCCTTCCAACAGCTTCATGACCATCCTTCAGTTCCTGAGTCACCTTTCTAGATGGATATTCTGTGTCTTCGACAAACTCCTGGTAGGAATTGTCTTCCATGTTATCCAACAGTTCTAACATGAAAACCCATGTATTAAAGTATCTAAACAAAGTGTGTTTCTGCATAGGACCTTTCCAGCTTTATTTGCTATGAAATGAAAATGATGAAGTCTGTTAGTTCCCTTTCTATGAATATTTTCATTGCTATTACTCTGGCTAACTTCTGTGCTCAGGTGTAGTCTCCAGTTCTGCCTAGATAGTTGCTGATATTTACTTTCTCTACTTCCTTTAGGGGGCATCTTTTCTGTTTTTATCCCTGATGGTTCTGTTTTCTTATTGATTAATCTCATATAATGCCTCTGAATCTGTTGGATGCAGGGAAAGTATAAACCATAATCCAATAAGCAGCTTATGATGATTTTCTTACCATGTAAAATGTTTCAAGGTGTGTGGACTAAAGTAGAAGGAGATGAAAAAAATAATGATAAATTATATCATCTATTATGGATAGCTACCATTTGCTCATTGCTTACTTTGTACTGGCACTGTGCTAAGTGCATTACCTACATTATTGTTTCTTAATCCTCATGGACATGGCTAATAAATGACAGGGCTCTAATTCAAAACCAGGTCTTTCTGACATCAATGCCTGTCCTTGTAAACTACACTGTATATGAATTTGGCTCAGACACATATCTCACATTTTGCCCTAGTGAAACAAAGTGTATTTTCTCCTTTTGACCTTGGGTGAAGAGAGTTGAATACAAGTCTTTCCATTTGTAACACACTGTCATCAGTAGCACAAGGCCTCCCTGGTTTTATTTATTTTTCCCTTCATCCCTAATTATATCTTCAATGGCCTTTCCCTAGAGATACCCATTACAATAGCTTTTATATATATCTTTAAAAATGCATATACCCTTGTAAGATATGTAACATGCTTTTCTTGTTATTTATTTAAAATTTATTTTACTGGCAGCATGCTGTATATCTTAATGCATTTTTTTACCTTTTCCATTCAACACTGTTTATAAGATCTTTCATGTTGCTATGTTTTCATTTAGTTGGTTTTCTGTAACTGCTGCATAGCATTTCTCTGTATGCATCCACCACATCTTTGCATCTGTTCCTCTAGTGCTAAAACTCTGCTTCAATTCCACAATTACCAATAGTGTGGTGTGTGGCCCTGAGCAAAAATTGCTTGGGGATATATTCCCAAAAGTGGTGTTCCTGAGTTATAGGGCAAATAATGCTTAATCACACCAAATACTTTCAGATTGCTTTCCAGAAGGGCTGTACCAGTTCAGATTACCACCAGCCATGCACAAGAAAAATTTCTAAACTGTCTCTATTCTTGACAATACTTGGCATTATCACCTTTGTACTCATTGCCATTTGACACGTATAAAATTGTATTTCATAAGTAAAGTTCTTCTGCAAGTTTGGAAAAAGTTGATTTGGACTTGAACATGCCACTAAGGCTGCTTAAAATGTCTTAGATGGGATGCTGATTGAGTGAATGCAGAGGCAGAGGAGGAGCAGGCTCTCATTTGAGCCCTCCTTGCAATTGGTTTATGTGTCTCTTATGACAACTAACATTGTTTTGCAATATGCAGTGATTATTTGTGTACTTGTCTGCAGCGAGCACCTTTTGGATTGTAAATTGCATCTTTCTTCCTTACCTGTGTATGCCCTCAATGCTTTGCTTGTTGCAAGACTCCAGTAAGTGTTTTCTGAAATAAATTGTCTGATCTCTCGAAGGTCCTGCCTGACAATAAGGGGCCATTGGCTATGAAAGGGTGGTAGGATCTAGGAGTGGAAAGTCACAGATGATTATTTTCTATTCTAATAGGGTGATCGGTTTATTTTTTTCTTTTCTTGACTGTTTTCCTCCCTACTTTAACCAGAGGTGCTTGCATTAGGATAGATGAACTATATGAAACTGCTCTGGTAAAACCAAACTTTTGAACATACTGGATTTTTCCCCCTAAATTGACAACTAAAAATCATGCCATGCTATTGACTCATTGTCCTCTTCAGTAATCTTCTGGTTGGGATTGGGAAGGGAAATTTCCAGAACTACAAACACTTCTCTTAGGGACTCAGGTCCCAACCTTGCTGGGCAGAGTGCATGATGTGTTTCATAATGCATGAGTGTTTATTTAACAAACAGCAACACTTTTTAATTAAACTGTTGTTGAAGATACAGACTGTATAACCTTTCTCCAAGGCCTGGATGCTCACTGGCCCTTCCAAGATGCTGACCCCTCGCTAGCTGCAGGCCTCTGGGGCAGTACATGCTGTGAGAGTTATTACAAGCCAGCTGGATTAGAGGGCCACCTCTCTTGAATCATTCAGAAGCTGAAGTGCAGGCTCTGGGATGGAGAGTTTCTCAATATGCCAAAGCTATTGGAATGCAGGCAGGTCTGGAGACACTTAGCTGGAACCTGGGGGAAAAGAGTGTTCAAGATAACTTCATAGAGGAAATTCCCTACCGCTTTTGGCTTTAAAGGATAATCATTGGTTCTTGCTGGTCTTGTACTACTATTTCCTGAGCTACTCTGAAATAGAATTGCTTTTAGGTTTCAGGTCTTCATTTATAGAGCTATATCCCTAAAAGATTAGATACGTCTCAGGGATGTTTTTCAGGATGCTTTTTCGCATCATGGTGATTGTATTAGTCAGGTTAGACTTGATTATGCTGCAGTAATACATTACTTCCCAAATTTTAGTGACTTAGAACAGCATAGCTTTACTTCTTATTCATATTACATGTTTAACACTGGGTAACAGTGGGGCTATGCTTATCTTGGACGTTCAGGGACCTATACGCTCAGAAGCTTGGCTGCTTTTTGATGTGACCATCTCGACATGAGTCTTTAGGGTTTTCTACAGCAGAGAAAGAACAAGAAATAAATTGTCTCTTAAATGTTCTTACCATTTTCATTGGCCAAAGCAGGTCACATGATCATGCTTACCTATAACTTTGTAGAGAACTGTAATTTTTCTGTCTTCTCAGAGAGAAAAGAGGACTGGAAATGACAGAGAATATGAATAACATATACCACAGTTTCATTGGGCATGAGAAAATGGTGATACTTTGATAGATCTCAGAAAATTACATACACTCAGCACCATATACATGCCCTTGAAGAGAAGAGACCATAGACTCTTAAAAATGTAAGTATCTCAGAGGAGATTTTGGCCAGTGAATCCAAATTATACAGCTTGGAAGTCTACAGGTTTATGCCATAGGGGACACAGAGGGGAAAATGAGGAACTAAGATGGGAATCTTGCCCACACATCTCCTTCAAACAGGGCAGTATAGGAAAGCATATACTTCCAAAATGATATGATTTTCAGTCCTACTCTACCTCGAACACTCTTCCTGGAACATACTCCAATTTGTCATCGGCTCCTCTTAAATTCAGCACTCAGTCATGAAAATGTTCTTTCATACCTGGTCTCATCAGTGTAGAGGCCAGAAGACCTGTTGGTTTTCCTTGCTTTGGATTTGTTATTTTGGCAATTAACGTTTCTGACAATCATACTATACCTTTGACTCATTATAAGCCTCATGTGGGTTTCTCTACTCCAAGGAGGCATAGGAGTTTAAAATAGGAAAACAGTAGTACGTTGTGATGGATTGTATTTTTCAAAGAAAGTCACAATAATATTTCCCATCCCATGCACTCTTCTGCAATGTATCCTTGACATTCTGTCATCAAGATTAAGAGGTAGACTCTCTCTCTACCCTCTTGAATGTGGATAGGCCCTATGATGGCTTCGATCAATAAAATATGGTGGTTTAACGCTGAGGCAGGTGGGGCACGATGTCTCACGCCTGTAATCCCAGCACTTTGGGAGGCCGAGGTGGGTGGATCATGAGGTCAGGAGATTGAGAACATCCTGGCCAACATGATGAAACCCAGTCTTTACTAAAAATACAAAAATTAGTCAGGTGTGGTGGCACACCCCTGTAGTCCCGGCTACTCAGGAGGCTGAGGCAGAGGAATCGCTTGAACCCAGAAGGCGGAGGTTTCAGTGACCCAAGATCGCGCCACTGCACTCCAGCCTGGTGACAGAGTGAGACTTATATCTCAAAAAAAAAAAAAAAAAAAAAAAAAGTGCTGAGGCAGTGAGGCAGCTCTGGAAATAGCCCTTAACTGGCTTGGCAGCTTCTGTTTTCTGACTCTTAGAAGCCAGTTGCCATGTAAGTAATGTGACTACCAAAAAATGACCACACTGTGAGAAGCCCAAGTGTGGTGGAGAGGCCTTGGGGAAAGAGATAACCCATGAGGCAAGAAAGAGGCCCAGGAGGTCCCAGGCATGGGAATGAAGAAACCAGCTTGCACATCCTGCCCAGGCTACAATGGACTGTAACCACATGAGAGGTTCCAAGATTAAACCACTCAATTGACCCCAGCCAACTCATAGCACCATGAGAAATAACATTGTTTTAAGCCACTATATTTTGGAATAGTTTTCTTAAAAATATAAAGTGATAGATAACCATAATAGAAATTTGTGCTAGAGGAAAATCCTTAAGACTCTTGAAAGCCATTTTGTCTAACAAAGAGTGTAAATAAGATATGGCCTTAACGATCCTAAGTAATTTTTCTAGTTAAGAAATAACTGTAATCAGTTGAGTGTTTTTCCACTTTATGTGACTTCAGTTGAGGCTGCAATCATTTGGTGTCTGGATGAGATGGGACATCCAAGGTACCTCATTCACATAAATAGCTGGCAGTTGATGAGATAACTCAGCCAGAGAGAACCTATGCATGATCTCTCCATGTGACCAAGGCTTCTCACAGGATGGCAACTGGGTTCCAAGAAGGGCTATCTGAAGAAAAACTATTCTTAGAAAACCAGGCAGAAAAAATAAAATTTCTTATGACCTAGCTTCAGGAGTCATTCATTGTCACTTTTGCTATATTTTGTTGATCAAAAGCAAGGCAAAGGGCTCTCCAATATTCATCGATTAGGGGACTACACAAAGGGAAATATTAGGAGTCATGGTTTATTGGGGGGCTATCTTTGGAGACAAGCTACCTTGATGGATAGAGAAATGATAACGGAAATAGGTTTGATGAAAAACGTGGTTAATCTGAATTGCAGTAGGTCTGATGGTTGGTTGGCAAGTTGTCCTTATTCTGGTGTATGGGTGAAGGGAATAAGCAGTGAGTTAGCTCTTACCTAGATCCATCCCCTAGAAAGTAACTGTGTCCAGTTATCAATGGGCAGGGCTTGCTGGGCGTTAAGCACAGGTAACCTCTAGTCTTTTACTATGTTTCTGCGACAGTGGCATAAAACAGCTTTTTAATGAGACCTACTGAGATGCACTGACAGATCTCTTCCTTTCCTTTTGTGTCTAGCCCATCCACCTTCATGTAAATGATTTATCAAGAAATAAGACCTAGGATTTTGAGATGGGTACATAAGAGCAAAAGAGAACTAGGATGAGATCATTCTCTTTTGCCTGCCCTTCAGCATTCTCAATGCAAGCAGGTTGGGGTTCTAAAGGAAGAGCAGGGATGACTGGAACCCTATAGCAGTGAGTCTGAGGAATGGGATCATGGGGGACCCAGAAGGAGGAAGCAGAACTGGAAGATGTTTCCATTCTGTGAAAGTGGCTTTTGGCTTTGAGGCAGCAACAGTAATATTTCATGTCTTCCGTGGTGTCTCCTACCTTTAAATGTCAGTCTCTGCAGCTGCCTTATCTCCTGTAGCACATTTCAATTAGGTATTCCAAATTATACTCTTTTCTTCCAGGACAAATATGCCAGAGGTGATATTTACTGTTACAGCAGCATTTAAAATACTTAGGGGGAAAAAATCCTAGTGAATAGCAATTTCTCCCTTATAATAATAATAAAGCACAATAATAATGGAGAGAGGAGGTGAATTCTGGCTTTGATGCCAATAACTGGCTGACTTAAAGTGAACATCTTTTGTCTCCGCCCTCTTTTGTCCCCCTCCTCCTATTCCCGCCTCAGTGTGAAGGTTATAGTGTTTGGCTCTGTCAAGAGCAACCTCACACATCTTCTTCACTGGAGGCTCACAAATGCTCCTCAGAATGTCTATTTAACTATCTCTAGGTAGGACTGGGCTCTGACTGGGCTCCTACTTCACCCATTACCTGTTTCTTCCTTTGTCCTGAGAATGTTTGCATGAAGCCAGAATCTCTGTTTGTTTAGAAATTTACCAGGCACCACTGCTTACTCCTCACCTATGGGACATTGTAGGTCCTGATGGAACACCCCGGCCTCCTCTCTAGGAGGTATATGGGTTAGAAACTTATGTATTGTACCTTTCCTTCTTGGAATCAAGTCCTTGGCCTGGTAATGAAGGTCCTTCGATCTGGTCTGCATTTTCCAGCTCCATCTCCTACTAATCTTTATATCCTTATCTACTGTTTCCCTAGGCTGTTGTCTTCACGGCCGCCATGGTAGGTTTTGCCTATCATCCCAAACCTTGTGCAGGCCTACCACAGTACTTGACATATGGTGGGGGTCTCAGTCAGTATTCTCCCCTATATTTAGAACCCTTCCACTAGATCTTGTCTTCATATTTTTGATTCCTGCTCAGGGATCAGATTATGTTCCATGTCCTCCACTGAGCCTTTTCTGACCTCCTCAGCGCACTCAGTGCCGTTCCCTCTCTGAATTTCTAAAGTGCTCAGCAGCAGCAGCACTCATTTGGCACTTGGTATATACTATCTTATGCTATTTTGTATGACCATATGTTGTCTATACAACTACATTATAAGCACCTGATAGGGATAACTGTGCCCTGTGTGTTTTTCCTATCCCTTTGATTCTAAGATAGTTCCTTGAACATTGAAGATGCTCAGTTAATATTCATTTATTAAGTAGATAGATCAAGGAGTAAATGAAAGCAAGGATCCTAAGAAGCCTGCCTTTTGGTGCCAATCTATTCAATTTGGAATTCACAAACTTACCTAAAACAAGGCCTTTCAATTTCCTGTTTCCCCTGTAAACAGAGCTCTACCACCAGGATTTCTCAGAAGCTCTTTCTCCACACTGAACCCTAAAACTGAAGGTTCAGGTAGAGAGCTTTTCCAGTGTGAGAGAATTTTTAAAGCATCTGGGGTTTGGCACATCCAGTGCTTTGAAAATCAAGGTGTCTTGATCATTGGGTGAAGGGGATTAGAACAGCAGGCTGTGTTTTCAAGTTCAAGTCCATAAGCAGACAGGAATAGAATCCCACAAGAGTTTGTTCTGTCTCTGCCATTTACTAGTTAATCTCTCTATGCCTCAATTTCCCCATTTGTAAAATGGATTTAATAATGGCTGTCTACCTTATAAGGTTGCTATGAGGTGCCAGTGTGATAATAAACGTAAAAGTACTTTGAATATTGCAAAACACTGTATGAATGTCAGGAATTAGGCAGGCAACAACTATTTCTTGGGGGTTTGTTCTGCATGTAGCCCTGCACTATGTGTAGATAGAGGCCTCTGTACATTACAGAAGACTGGCAGAGGCATTGGGGATTCATCATGGCTGGAATTCTGGTTCTCAGATAGATGAAAGCTGGAAAAAGTATTATAGCCTAGCAATCACATCTGAAAGGTTGGCAGCAACAATTGAGTCAGAGAAGACGGGAGGTGAAGTATTGGCAAAAATTTGACCCTGGTCATTCTTTGAACACTTCAGATTTCCACAGATTCTATCCCTTTAACATTTCTGAACGTTATGATTTTGCTTCCTCCCCACACTGGCAGCTCTGCCTCAATGAAACCGTGTTGCTTTTTTGGTTGATCAATTGTGCCCAACTTCCTGATCATACTTGTCCTGAGAGCCTGTGTTAAGCTCATGCCGGCTCTCCCACCCCGCCCCCAACGCCGGCCAAAAAAAAGACTCTCTAAAAACAGGTGCCCCCGATGATCTCACACTGCTGCTGGCATTGGCAGCAGCCCAGAAGGGCCAAATGGTGACTTCAGGTCCAGGGAGGCTACTGTCCTCAGCTCTGTTTTCATGTAAATGTCGCTCCTGCTGAAAGGAAGTGGATGCAAAAAAATATCTGCTATGGAAGCAGAACTACCCCAGACTAAAATGTTGGTTTTTTTTTTTTTCTCTCCCCCTTTTCTTTTCCTTCAAGTTTTCCATGTGGCATCAGCAGCTGAGTAAGGGAAAGCTAAGAGGTTTAAGTGTGCTGGGGCTGGGTGGGCTAGATTAATAACCCAAAGCCTTCCAAGCTGGCGGTGCTGGGTGAGACAGGCCAACCAGAAAGCGTTAGGTTATGGGGAGCCCTGGCCACAGAGCCAGACCCTACCAGGGTGGAAGGTGAAGGAGCAGCGAGCTCTGCGTGCTTGCCCCGAGCCCCCACCTTCCTTCCTTCCTCCTCCCTCTGGTTTCTTTCCTCCCATTTTATCGAGTCCCTCTGAGATGGCTGCGCACCAGTGGCTCCAGCCTCTGACCGTTGCTGCCCTCTGCTGGGAAGAAAGCTTTACTCGGTGTGGAAAGTGCTAAGCTCTACCAGGGACCAGCTTAATGCAGACCAAGTCCACAGTCTGTGGCTAGTGTGTGATTTGGCCCAGAGGAAGGAAGGACAATTCAGAAAACCCTTGCACCACAGTGTTTCCCTAGTGGTTTCAGGTGGGGGCAGGACTTTGGAATCTATTAGGGAAGGATTGCTTGAATCCTCAGAGTTCTCTGTTCAAGAGGAACATCCCTGGGAGAGGAGCCTCCTGGCTCCTCTTTACCTGGGTCAGACATGATGTATGGAGACTCCACCATGGATGACCCTTAAATATGATGGATGGCTTTAGTTACAGGACACAATTCTTTCTCAAGGGAAGGTGACCAAAAGAAGTTGGGTCTTGAAGGGGCTGCAGGATGGGCCTGGAAGTCTCTTGGCTCTAAAGGAACCATCATAGAATGGGGATTCTGAGCAACCAGGAAGCAGCAGAAAAATATGCAAAGCCAGATGGGAGTGGGGAATATTGCCCATTAATGGGCAAGAGTACATAGAAAGGTAGATAATAAACTGGCTTCACCACTTCTCAACTTTCCCCAGAGCTGGCTGTGCCAGTAAACTGTGCTCAGCTGGCTTTGGATGAGAGAAGGACAAGAGGGTGCCTATCTCCAGCATGGCTGTGGGGTCGCCCTGCTCCATCTCTGGATCTTCAGCCTAGAGTGCAGCCCAGCCAAACAAGAGCGATGACCTCACTGACCACATGTAATTCTGCTTGAGGGATTTATTTTCTTCCATGAGCTCCTGCCAAGACTCTTGGTTAAAGCTAATGGGGCTCCCCCAGCCAGTGAGTGTCTCCTAGTTATATGTGTAAACAACGCCAGGCAGGAAATAGGTTTCCTGTTCTTAATGGGCTTGTTAAACCTCTTATCGAGTGGGGTTTAAATGGCTTTATTATGAATAATAATAATAGTAAATAAACATTATTATTATTAGTAGTAGAAAAATTATGATGTCAGCCCTGACTACCCCTTCTCATTTTAATCTTGCCAACGTGGAGGTCTTTGGCCTCTAAGTGCACAGGAATATGGTGAGTGACACTGGGACTTATAACTGGAGAAGATGGCAGAATTCATCTTCGTTGCCTGCAGCTTTCCAATCCTGAGCCCTTTTCCACTTTCATCGTGTTTCCATCTCCATCATTCCTTTCATTCAGGGTTTTCATGATCTTATTCTATCAGAGAAGATAGAACTACACATCCCTCTCCTTCTCAGTTTTATTTAGCATTGAAAGCCATGGACAGAGGTTCTGAGGTTAAATTGAGGTATCGGGTAGAGGGGATTTTGGAGAGAGCAGTGGATGCTGGTAGGGGAGCTCAGTTGGAAGTGGGGCTCATGTTCTGATCTTCAGTGCCGAATGTCTGTGTCCCTCCCTCAGATTTACATGTTGAAACGTAATCACCAATGTGATGGTATTAGGAGGGGGGCCTTTTGGGAGGTTAGTAAGTCATGAGTGCTTTGGGATTAGTGCTCTTATAAAATAGGCCCAAGGGAGCTTGTTCACCCCTTCCACCATGGAAAGACAGAAGAAGAACTAGAAGCCACCATCTATGAACCAGGAGGTAGCCCTCACCTGATGCCAAATCTTCCAGCACCTTAATCTTGGACTTCCAAGCCCCCAGAATTGTCAGATACAAATTTTTGTTGTTTATAAGCTACCCAGTTTATGGCATTTTGTTGTAGCCACCTGAACAGATTGAGATATCCAGTTTATAGCTGGAACTGGAGGTATACCAGGTATCCCAGACTTTGGTAATTTATGTATCAGGTTCACTATTTTCACCATAACTCCCTACAACAGTATTGATTTTCTTTACACCGATTATCTTGTTTGACTTAAGTAGATTTGGCATCATCTTACAAGCAATATGTCTTTGAAATCCTGGGTTCAATGTGTTAGCCAGGTTTTTTACTGACTGCATATTGAAATGAATATCTAAGAGCTAAATATTTTTTCCTAAAGTTCATCATGTGGCAAATGTGTCACACCCTCCAGGGAAAACATACCACAACATCTGGAGACACTGCTATAGGGTAGTGGTTCTTAAACTTTAGTGGGCATGAGAAACACTGGCAGAGCTTCTACCAGAAACACTGGTAGATAGCTGTGCTCTTCCCCAGAGAATCTGATTCAGCAGGTCTGTGGTGGGAAATATGACTTTGCAGGTTTTTTTTTTTTTTTTTTTTTTTTGAGACAGGGTCTCATTCTGTCACCCAGGCTGGAGTGCAGTGGCGCGGTCTTGGCTCACTGCCAGCTCTGCCTCCCAGGTTCACACCATTCTTCTGCCTCAGCCTCCTGAGTAGCTGGGACTACAGGCGCCAGCCACCACGCCTGGCTAATTTTTTGTATTTTTAGTAGAGATGGGGTTTCACCGTGTTAGCCAGGATGGTCTCGATCTCCTGATCTCAGGTGATCTTCCCGCCTCGGCCTCCCAAAGTGCTGGGATTGCAGGCATGAGCCACTGTGCCCGGCCTTTTCTTTATTTTTTGAGACAGAGTCTCATTCTGTCACCCAGGCTGGAGTGCAGCAGCGTGGTCTCGGCTCACTGCAAGCTCCGCCTCCCGGGTTCACGCCATTCTCCTGCCTCAGCCTTCTGAGTAGCTGGGACTACAGGTGCCCACTACCACGCCCAGCTAATTTTTTGTATTTTTAGTAGAGACGGGGTTTCACCATGTTAGCAAGGGTGGTCTCAATCTCCTGACCTCGTGATCCACCCATCTCGGCCTCCCAAAGTGCTGGGATTACAGGGGTGAGCCACCGCGTCCGGCCGCCTTTTATTTTTTTTTGAGATGGAGTCTCCCTCTGTCACCCAGGCTGGAGTGCAGTGGCACAATCTCAGCTCACTGCAACCTCCACCTTCTGGGTTCAAGCAATTCTGCTTCAGCCTTCAAGTAGCTGAGACTACAGGCACCCGCCCCCACACCCAGCTAATTTTTGTATTTTTAGTAGAGATGGGGTTTGACCATGCTGGCCAGGCTGGTCTCAAACTCCTGATCTCAAGTGATCTACCCGCCTCGGCCTCCCAAAGTGTCCAGAACTCCTAGACTCAAGCGATCCTCCTGCCTCAGCCTCCTGAGTAGCTGCGACTACGGGCTTGCACCCGGAAACTGCAGTTCTAACAGTTGCTCAAGAGATGTTGATATCCAGGGGCCACACTGGCAGTGGCACTGGCCTGGAGAATAAGGGCCTGTTCTCCATTTCCACATGTGAAAATTTCCTCATTTGAAAATGGGGATAATGTGTGCTGTATAAAATGAAATAATTTTTTCTTGGTGCCAATCTGTCTATGCAATGGAATGTTTGTGTCTCCCCAAAATTCACATGTGGAAGCCCTAACTGCCAATGTGATATTAGGAGATAGAGCCTTTGGGAGGTAATTAGATCATAAGGGTGAGGTCCTTAGAATGAAATCCATGCCCTTAGAAAAAGGACCCCAGAGAGTTCCCTCACCCTCTTTCTGCCATGTCAGGATACAATGAGAAGTAAGAAGTCTGCAGTACAGAAGAGGGCTATCACCAGAAGCTGACCATGCTGGCACCATAATCTTAGACTTCCAGAATGCAGTACTGTGAGAAATAAATTTCTATTGTTTATAAGCCACCCAGTCTATGGTACTTAGTTATAGAAGCCCAGATGGAGTAAGCCAACCTGTTTGGAGTGTTTTTGAGCTGTCATGCTTTTCAGGTTCAGCTTAAAGCTCAGATGGGAAATACAGGAACTTCTGCAGGTTAATTCTGGTTCTAAGTTCAAGTCCTAAGAATAAGCCCATTATGCAATTCTGGGTGGCCAAGCAGTTCTCCAGCAGCCCCCAGGAAGTATTCTATCTCACAGAATCCTGGCAAAAGGAGACAGTCTTCTCAGTCTGGTCAAGGGCTATGTTGAGTGTGAGGGAACAGAGGTGAATGTCCCTTGCTGTGCTCACCATGTTCTGAGAGACAGGCAGACAAAGCGTAATTTACAATTTGATTAAGTGATTGCATTGGTGACTTTTTAAAGCCGCCCAGTAGTTGAGCCCCCTTTCTGCATTTGGAAGTTTACCCGTATGAGTCTAAAAGGGAGACAGGGCCCTCATTCCATGACTGAGGCCCCCAAAGTCTAGTCTCACTTTCCTCAGTCTCAGTGAGCCACAGAAGCCAGGCTCAGTGTCTGGGAGGAGAAATCCTCTCTGATGGTGGCAGGGGTGGGGACAGCAGCCCCGCTGGGCCCTGTGGGGACAGTCCCAGCAGCAGACAGTCCCAGTTGGGCTTATCCTGTGATGTTGGCCTCACTGTCTTGGCAGCCTCTGGCATTTCTGTTCTCTGTTCATCTTCCACATATGGTTCTCAGGTTCACTCATCAAATCCCTTCCCATTTCACCCAATCAATAATGCTGAACTAATAATGGTTTTTAGAGCAGGGAAGTGGCACAATCACAACTTATTTTAAAGATAACTGACCACTCTCTGGAGCATGGATTGGAGGATGAGTGACTCAAGGTGGGGTGACTAGTGAGGAGGTGATGAAGGAGATGAGAGGAAAGAGGAAGAAACACTCACAGAGTAAACCTGGCCATATCTAATGACTGGAAGCCTGAGTTTCTCTTCAAACTCAGAAGAGAAAAATGAATTTATGGTTTTGGGCGCAGCTTTAGTTTTGTCTTTGGGGATGAGTATGTATTTTGTTGGGAAGGTGGATGCCCTGAAGCAGGGTTGGGAAACAAGATTAGAGGTTTTTGAATAAGACTGTGTTTGAATACAGCTTGGCTATGGTCTTCTCCATTTCAAGTCTGTTCAACTTAACAAATATTGAGCCCTTACTAGGTGTCAGACATTCTTGGGTATTTAGAATACAGTATATTTTGATTTTGGTGTTGAAAAAGGTGTGGAGGTATGCAGGGAAAAATCTCACATGCTTTTACCTACACACACACACATTCACGCAACACAAAGTGCACGCACATATTGGTCTTGAAATTCCCCAAGGACCAAAATGGACCCATGTGATGAGTCTGTGTTATAACAGGGAATCTACCGTAGGTTCTTGGCTACCTTTTGTGAACCTTCTGTCTTCTTTCCTCTCACTTACAAGTAATCCCCTGAGTTTTTACCTCCTGAACCCTGTGATTTCAAGGGTTCACAACTAAATGCTTCTTATGCTGAGCAAATGTATACACTGCTAAAACCATATACTCACTCCTTGTGGTGTGTTTGTTAGGAAGCTGCCACTTCTGTCTTCTCCATTCTTTGGAAAAGGCTGTGAGTAAACACAGAGCACTGGCTATTTACATACCTAGCTCCTGCTTGCTTTTTCAAAGCTCTTTGTTCAAGTGTCAGTGCTGGTTTGTAAAACATGAACAGAGTTGGGGTAAAAAAAGTAATTACAGTTCAAATCTGGTGTTTCTACTGACATGATACTGAGCTGCCTGACTGCTCTTCTTTCTTATCCCTTCTCTAGTTCTGTCTTTTCAGTTGCAAGTTCACTCTGTCTCTGTCTCCCCTCTCTCTCCCTTGCTCTCACTCTCATTCTCTTGCTTGCTCTTCTGTGTGTCAGAAAGCTACACACATGAAAGGTAGCTGGCCTCATAGCCACTGGGTAGCCCATCCTTGAGAGCCTGGCCACCTTCAGTGTGTCGAGATGCCAGGGCCCTCTATGGCTTTTTGCACAGGGAAGTTCTAGTGTTTTCAGTTTCCAGAGCCCACAATGAGCTGTCCTCCAAATCCAGATCTAAAACCAAACCTTCTCTTGGATCAGACCAATCCAGAAGCACTCTATAGTTTCAGGGGTGTCCAATCTTTTGACTTCCCTGGGCCACAGTGGAAGAAGAAGAATTGTCTTAGGCCACACATATAATACACTAACACTGAGATATAGAGTAAGCTCAGTTGTTGACATAGCAAGTTTGAAATTACAGCAGAACTTCCAGAAAACATCACACCAGAGTTTTCTATCCTTCCAACTATATTTTACATTTTTTGCTTTCAGAGGCTATGCTTCTTCTTCTTTGTTCTTCTCTTAATTCAGCCCATGAGCACATGGTAGATTATGAATGGATGCTTTAGGAACCATGTAGATGGAGGTTTGTGAAAATTTCCACGGAACATGGCAGTTGAGAATTGGTGACTGATATGGTCTAGCTCTGTGTCCCTACCCAAATCTCACCTTGAATTGTAATAATCCCCATGTATCAAGGGTGAGACTAGGTGGAGACAATTAAAAAATGGGATTGGTTTCTGCCATTCTGTTCTCGTGATAGTGAGTGAGTTCTCACAAGATCCGATGGTATAAGGGGGTATAAGAGGCTACCCCTTTTGCTTGGCACTCATTCTCTATCCTACTGCCCCGTGAAGAGATGCCTTCTGCCATGATTGTAAGTTTCCTGAGGTCTCACCAGCCATGCAGAACTGTGAGCCAGTTGAACCACTTTTCTTTATAAATTACCCAGTCTCAGTTACTTCCTCATAGCAGCATGAGAACAGACTCATGCTGGTACCACAGAGAGTAGAGTTCTGCTATAAAGATACCCAAAAATGTGAAAGTGACTTTGGAACTAGGTAACAGGCAGAGGTTGGAACATGTTGGAGAGCTCAGAAGAAAGAAGACAGGAAGATGTGGGAAAGTTTGGAACTTCCTAGAGTCTTGTTGAATGGCTTTGACCAGAATGCTAATAGTGATATAAACAATGAAGTCCTCAGATGGGGATGAGGAACTTGGTGGGAACTGGAATAAAAGTAATTCTTGCTATACTTTAGCAAACAGACTAAATTTGCATTTCACCCCTGCCCTAGACATCTATGGAACTTTGAACTTGAGAGAGATGATTTAAGGTATCTGGTGGAAGAAATTTCTAAGCAGCAAATCATTCAAGAGGTGACTTGGGTGTTCTTAAAAGCATTCAGTTATATGTATTCACAAAGATATGGTTTGGAATTGGAACTTATATTTAAAAGGTAAGCAGAGCATAAAAGTTTGGGAAATTTGCAGCCTGACGATGCGATAGAAAAGAAAAACCCATTTTCTGAGGAAAAGTTCAAGTCAGCTGAAGAAATTTGCATAAGTAATGAGGAGCCAAATGTTAATCACCAAGACAGTGGGGAAAACGTATCCAAGATATTCAGAGATCTTCATGGCAGTCCCTCCCATTACAGGACTAGAGGCCAAGGAGGAAAAAATGGTTTCATGGATTGGGCCCAGGGCCTTGCTGCTTTGTGCAGTCTCAGAACTTGGTGCTCTGCATCCCAGCTGTGGCTAAAAGGGGCCAATGTAGAGCTCAGGCCATTGCTTCAGAGGGTACAAGCCCCAAGCCTTGGCAGCTTACATGTGGTGTTGGGCCTGTGGGTGCACAGAAGTCAAGAATTTAGGTTTGGTAACCTCCACCTAGATTTTAGCAGATGTATGGGAATGCCTGGATATCCAGGCAGAAGTTTGCTGCAGGGGCGAAGCCCCTATGGCGAACCTCTGCTAGGGCAGTGCAGAAGGGAAATGTGGGGTCTGAGCTCCCACACAGAGTCCCCACTGGGGCACTGCCTAGTGAAGCTGTGAGTAGAGGACTAGCATCCTCCAGACTTCAGAATGGTAGATTCTCTAATAGGTTACACCATACACTTGGAAAAGCTGCAGGGACTCAATGCCAGCCAATGAAAGCAGCCGAAAGAGGGGCTGTATCCTGCAAAGCCACAGGGGTGGAGCTGCCCAAGGCTATGTGAGCCCACCTCTTGCATCAGCATGCCCTGGATGTTAGACACAGAGTCAAAGGAGATAATTTTGGAGCTTTAAGATTTAACTGCCCCGCTGGATTTTGGACTTGCATGGGACCTGTAGCCCCTTCGTTTTGGCCAGTTTCTCCCATGTGGAATAGGTGTATTCACCCAATGCCTGTAACCCCATTGTATCTAAGAAGTAACTAACATGCTTTTTATTTTACAGGCTCATAGGTGGAAGGGATTTGCCTTGTGTCAGATGAAACTTTGGACTTCAAATTTTGAGTTAATGCTGGAATGAGTTAAGACTTTGGAGGACTGTGGGAAGGGCATGACTGTTTTTTGAAATGTGAGGATTAAGCATAAAATAATGGCAAACCGCACAAGAATTATTACAATTCAAGGTGAGATTTGGGAGGAGCCAGGGACAGAATGATATGGTTTGCCTCTGGGGCCCCACCCAAATCTCACCTTGAATTATAATAATTCCCACATGTCAAGGGTGGGACCAGGTGGAGACAATTGAATCATGAGGGTGGTTTCTGCCATGCTGTTTTCATGATAGTGAGTGAGTTCTCATGATATCTGATGGTTTTATAAGGGGCTTCCCTGTTTGCTTGGCACTCATTCTGTCCCCTGCCGCCCTGTGAGGAGGTGACTTTTGCCATGATTGTAAGTTTCCTGAGGCCTTCTCAGCCATGTGGAACTGTGAGTCAATTAAACCTCTTTTCTTTGTACATTTATAAATTACCTAGTCTCAGGTATTTCCTCATAGTAGCGCAAGCACAGACTAATACAATGGCCAAGAAGTGATCATAGGATGGTAATATAATAAACACATGGAGGGGAAAGTGAGTGTAGTTGCAGGTTTTCAGGAGAAAATCTGAAAGGGGTGACCAAAAATGAGTACCTGAATGATGCAGCTTTTTGAAAAAGTCTATTTGTAGGTCATTAACAAATTGAGATTCAGGAAATCATTGTATGGTTTAAATAGGATAAAATTTTTCACTAGAATGCTTGATCTCTGGGGATTCCCAGAAGCCCATTCATGAAAGTGGTTCATTCATGCAACAAATATTTTAACAAATGCCAAGTATGTTGTAGAATTATTTTAGGTGCTAGGAAAACAGCAGTGGATAAAACAAAAATTCCTTAGAGTTTATATTCTAATGGCGAGTCATAAGTAATCTACAAAATAAATAAATATACAGTATTCTAGATGATGGTAAGTGTTTTAAAGGAAAAATGAAACAACAAATAGTGATAGTACAAGCGGGGGTGGTGGTGATAATTTCAAGTTTAGGTAGGGTAAAGAAGAAGACATGGATAGACAGGAAGCCCAGATATAGCATAGTATTCCAGGGACCAAAGCAAGATGTTCAGGAAACTAGAGGCCTCAAATTCTCCTACTGCAATCTGACTTTGTACCCCAATTAACAGTGACAGCATACTGCTTTAAAATAGGAAATAAAGTGGAAGGAAAGCAAATGCTTGATAGTTGACCTGACATTCACTGTTGCAAGATTGGGAACGTACAATAAATGTCACTGATGGAGAAATATTCATGAAGTAAAAATGTCAGTTTTCAATTTGGCATGAGGATGGTTTGACATGTATTAGTCATGCACAGAATATTATCATAATTAATGCATTAATAATACAGCTGTCCTTTTTCTCCCAATCATAAGTTAAAAGGGAGGAAATAGAGGCAAGTGAAAGAGCAGCTCTCATCCTGATCAGACCTTTTCTCTTGGCATTTGTCTCTTCCTCTGCCCAGCCATTTCTGTGGCATTGGCTTCTGATCAGTATCAGTCTTGATTTATCCATCTCAGTTCTTCCTTCACCTTTCATGAACAACACCAGTGGTTTTGTCTGCTGAGGGCTTTTTCCTTAATTTTCAGCCATACTTTAAAAAATATTTTAAAAGAGAGAGATATATATAGTAAAAATGAGACATAAGCAAAATCAAGAATATAAAAATCTCCCATAAGCTCACTACCCAGAGAAAACTACTATTACTATTTTGGTGTTTGTACTGATCTCGGATAGCTGGCGCTGGGATGACTCAGGGGATTTGATTCTTCTCCACTGTTTCTCATTCTCCAGCAGGCTGGCCCTAGCCTATTCTCATGTCATTGGCAGAGGCACGGGCAAGCTTATTCTCACACCTGCTTTTTAAGTCTCTATTTGTGTCACATTCACTAACATCACAAAGCAAATCATGTGATTAAGCCCAGTGTCAAGGGGCGGAACATTCTGTCCTACCCATAGTTGGAAGGTACTGCAGGGTTATGTGGCAAAGGGAAGGGTGAAAACTTGGGGCAAAATTTGCGACTTCCTATACTGGGTCAAAAGACACCCTTGTTTCAAGGCTTATGATAGATGTTTCCAAATTGCTTTCTAGAAGGGCTGAACCAACCCCACTAATGGTATAAGACTTCCTGGCTTTCCAGTTCTCTTTAGTCTTGCTGATTCTGGGAATGATTTATGACCTTCTGTCTGGGCTGTTTTGATTTGTATCTCCACCTGTCTTTTAAGGCTGCACAGTTTTTCTTTGTGGTAATTCTTTACTTGCAGAATACCCCCAAAGCTCCCTAAGACTCTGGTCTACTTACCTTCTTCATCCTGATTTCTTCTGCCTGCTTTATCTAACACTTGTGCTGACCAACTCCCAGCTATCTGAATATTCAGTAATCCATGTAGGCCTACTCCCCAAGTGTTCTAAGTTGGTAGGAGTTACTACACATCTTTTAACTTTGCTGCCTACACCAGCAGTAATGTAATTGTTGGTCCTCATTATTCCCAGAATATTGGAATTTTTAGGGTCAGAAAAGAGCTCAGAATCCAATCTCATTTTTATACAATATTATTCCAAAGATGTATGGGTATTTGTGTAGATGAAGATAAGGGTATAGATAGAAATTTGCATAGAAAAAAGGTTGAAAGGCATTGCCATTGTTAATATGCTAGTATACATCTGTATATGGGAATTATAGGTGAATTTTTTTTTTGCGATGGAGTTTTGCTCTTGTTGCCCAGGTTGGAGTGCAATGGCACGATCCCTGCTCACTACAACCGCCACCTCCCAGGTTCAAGCGATCCTCCTGCCTCAGCCTCCCAAATAGCTGGGATTACAGGCTTGTAGTACCACGCCCAGCTAATTTTGTATTTTTAGTAGAGATGGGGTTTCTCCATGTTGGTCAGGCTGGTCTCGAACTCCTGACCTCAGGTGATCCACCCGCCTCGGCCTCCCATAGGTGAATTTTAAAAAATCTTTAATGTTGCGTACAGAAACTGAGGGTCACAGAAGTTAAATAACTCACCTCATATCCTAAAGATTAATAATAGTGAAACTGACTAATGCCCAGTTCTGCTGATTCCTGGTTTAATGCTCTCTTGAGATAATACCACAGTATGATCTCTGAGGCCTAGCTGTCTTTTGTTTGATTGTTTGTATCCAAGCTGTATTGGCAGTTTCTTTTGGTTTTATAAGAGTGCTCTGCTGATTGTGGGTTCACAGGGAAATAAAGAATGTTTTTTAAATGATTGAGTCATCTAAGTCAGCTATGTAAATGTATATATATATATACACACATATATGTAATATCTGTATGCATAAATTACCATGACTTCAAAATTTGACAAATGGTTCAGGTAAATAGTGGATTTTATCTTTTAAATCACATTAAGGCTCCCAAGTGGATGCATCCTGAGTTCTGGACACATAATTTATCATAGGCATCACATGGATTTTATGTAATTATATTAATTATTTAGTACATACAAAGGTAAGCTCTGCAGAATTAGAATAGAATCGGATAAGTTTTTAGGGAGATCTAAATTGGTAAGATTGATCAAATTTCTTGCTATGAGTAATTGAAGGTGGGTCACTGTGATGGAGTGTTCTTCACTGGAGCTAAGCTTCACTAGAGCTATTCGGAGTAATTGGGGACTGGTTAGGAGACCAATGCATCAACATCTGTCTATAGGAAGTATGGATTCATCTGCTTTGAAATGAGTCTTTAGTTTGTTTCCTGCTTGTTCTTTATTTCTTTTTCACCTGAATGCTCTTTCAAGAATATTCAAAAACACAAAAACAAAAACTTTTCCCCTGGAGAGTGGGGATTAGCTCAAGAATCACCATGATGATGAGAAGCAGAAAACCTGGTTTGGAGAGTCCTGGACCTGGAGAACACCAAAAAGATGTTAGCATCTTGAGTATATTGTTCTGATCTAAAGTCAGATGTTAAATTTTTTACTCACTTAGGGCTGTCTGTGAGACTTTGCGGATCACAGAGAGAATAGACACTGAGAAATGAACGTGAACTAGTGGGTACAAAGGAAAGGGCACCCGAGGCTGCTTCATCAAGCTAGAGGAGTGGGAATCTCAGCCCCTGAGAATGAGCATCTACAGGCTCTTTTTTCCTAGTGCTTCTGTGGTGTTTGTTTTTCATTGTGCCACTTGGTTTGCAGAAAAGAAAAAAGAAAAAAAAAAAGGCTGCCCTGGAAGCTGAGGTTTTACAAGTGCTGAGAGAACTGTCAACCTATTATAGAATTCAGACAGAGACTTTCAGCTAGAGAGGGTTTAGGTATTCTGTGCCTGGCTGGACTCTAGGGACTCACGCTTGATCATACTAGGATTCAAGAACAACGCAGTTGTCACTGTTAGCCCATGATCCCACACGTACCCAGACACATTCTCTCACGGCAAGTACATCTGCACCTGGATGCCTTCTACTAGTATGACATACTTAAAAGTATCTTGGATATGCCTTAAAGATCATTGTTGGCTGCTTCTTGATGGCAAAGTGCTCAGTTAGAGCCAGTTTAAACACATGTCACCAGAACTGAATAAATAGATTTTGATAAAACTGATTCAGTGAATATCTCCCTTAGGGCGAAGCTCAGCCTTCTCCACTTCACTGGTGCTATGAAAATCACTAGTCCTCATTTCCAAGCTGTGTCTGAATTCAGATTTAACTGCTAACCATTGTTTAAGACCGCAGTGAGATCCACAGGGTAGTCTCAAGGTGTGATTAAGACACTTGGGAGTGGTGGTGGTTAAAAAAAAAAAAAAAATAGAGCCAAAGTGTAAGGAGGCAAGCTGGAGGCACGTGGTTATATGAGGAGAAAAATTGCAGTGAGGCCTTCTCATCACCCTCTTCAGGGTCAATGTGATGGCTTCGTAGAATCAAGTGCAAGTCTGTGGCTCCATTATCTCAACTGGCTAGAAGAGAGTGCTACTAAGGCAGAGGTGGGAGCATGAAAGTTCACCTAATAGCTTAGTTTTGTTAAGTCTCATTGCCACAGTCTGCACCTTATCCTGATGTTCTCACTGGAAAATAACTAGCCTAGTTCCTGAGAAGGAATTGTGAACAGGGCATTGCCTGTTTGTCAAAAAGTTATTTAAAGTCACTCCAGCTCCTCACTTAACCTCTCTATGCCTGTTTCCTCTTCTCGAAAATTACAGTAATAATTATTACAGTAATAATAGAATAGTACCTATCTCATAGGCTTTTTGGGAGGATTAAATGAGTTAATAATCTGAAGATATTGAAAACCACACCTGTCATGTGGTAAGTGGTCTTCAAATGCTAATTGTTTTTATCTTTATTAACTGCCATACCCATGTTTGATTGGCAGCTACATCTTGTATGAGTCTTTAATATTTCATCTGTAATTTCTGGGTTGCTCCTGCCACAGAGAAGGAGCAAGGGAGCCATTGGTACTACTGATGAATATTAGGAGGTGGAGACACCTTGACAACTGCTGAAATGTACTCATGCCTGCCTGCTTGCCCTAACTGCACTTAGTGGCCTGGATTTAGGAGCTGCCAATCTCATTACACACCAGTTTTCATGACTATCCTCAACTTACTCCTTTCTTACCACTGCTCAGCACTTATCCTAAGTTGACACCAGGCTCATTGGTAATCATGGACTCACTTCTCCCATCTGAAGTATTCTTGAGTTGGCTCCCAAGAAGCATTCTCTCTTCATCTCCAACTCAAGGGTGAGCTCCTTTTCGTGGAGGAACTACCCTGTGTGTCCTTTCCCTCCCTCTCTCCATCACCATCAGCATTCAATTCAGTATTCTGCACACACAGGAGTTTAGTCTCAATTTAAGGTAGGTCAGGTTTCATTCACCCTTGAGCTCCCCTTAGCACCCACTACAGACTCATTGGAGAGGTGACTATTAGAGGTGCTTGTGGAAATGAATCTCAAATAGTGTCCTTCTGCCTGAGTCCTTCATTGAATCCCTCACTTGTATACATGATTCATACTCTGGTAGCTTTGATCATTGTACAAAAGAAAAGTAGTAACTCTTCTTTGGGGCCAGGCCAGGACTGTGGAGCCCAAAGGGCTTTTGTCATCCCTCCTGGAATGGAGTTACCTGATCTGGATATTGGAATGTTTACATCCTTAGTCCTTGAAAAGGGGAAAAGTTATGCTTATCCTCAATTGTTTACCATGACCCTTCCTGTCACATCATACTGTTCTACGAACACAAGAATCATGGCTAACATTTGTAAACCATCTACTATATGCCAGGTACTCTATAATGGAAGGTATTTTACATAAACTTTTTATTTAAGTCTGTGAATTAGGTATAATTCAATGCATTTTTAAAGTTAAAGAAACTGAGGCTTAGAGAGCTACTTGACCAAAATCACAAGGCTACTAATTAGTACAAGCCATTTGATCTAATACTAACACTAACTTGTTGTAACTAGCTTGTCTTGCTCTTAACTTCTTATCTCAGTCCATTTGTGCTGCTGGAACAAAATACCACAGACTGAATAATTTATAAATAATGGAAACTTATTTCTCACAGTCCTGGAGTCTGGGAAGTCCAAGATCCAGGTGCTGGCACGTTTCATGTCTGCTGAGGGCTGCTCTCTGCTTCCGGGACGACAGCTTGTTGCTACTTCCTCCTAAGGGGAGGCATACTGTGTCCTCACATAGCTGACCTTTTATAGAGGTTGCTAATGCCACTCACGAGGGTTCTGCCCTCATGGTTTAACTACTTCCCCAAAGCCCCACCTCTTAATACTTATCACATTGGTGATTAAGTTTCAACACATGGATTTTAGGCGACAATCAGACCATAGCATTTCTTCTCTACAGGTTTATAAAAATACTTTTTTGTCTTGTATATATTTTCATTATTTTTCCTGCTTGAGTATACATTTTCATCTCTGAAGACAGGGACACATTTATGGACATTCCTTCCTCTGCTCTCTAAGACTGCAGTGATTTTATGTGCACATACATACATTGAAAATGTATAGTTGGCTAGATCCTGGACCCCATATAATAGCTTACTGGTTACTATACAGCAGGAGGAACTGAAGAGAAAGAAAGAATCAACAGCAAAGGTGCCCATACCTGTTGCAATTTGTATTTTGCTCATGTCCTAGTTCAGCCCATCCAAGGGCCAACCCTGATAGGGCTTAAATGTTCTCAGCATTAGCTTCTCTTCATTAATATCTGTTTGTACCTTTCTTTGATGCCGTATCTATCCTCCATAAGGTACTTATTAATTTTCGCATCATCCTGCTTCATGTTGTTCTGTCCATTATCTGTAAGGCTCAAATATAGAAAGAAAGTGCATCCATATCAGTGAGAGACAGTTCAGAGTGATTGTGGGTGAGCTCATGGTTTCCTGCAGCTGCAGGACTAGAGAGAGCTACTTCATGATGTTGGAGATCTGGAGTTTAGGAAGCCTAGGAGGTATTCAAGCAGCAGTCAGTCAGCTTGCCTTGCATTTTTAAAAGCATGTCTGCAATTTTATGGTGTGTTCTCCTCTCCCACCACTGCTGTTTTCCTCCATTACTGCTTAGGTTGCTACCCTGAGAGAGAAGCAGCCATGCTGATTCTTTATCTTTTACCAAAAGGGCAGCAGCAGCATCTCTTTCTAAATTGTTATTATGAAGAGAATAGCTACTGTGGTTTGAATATCCCCTTCAAAACTCATGTAAAATGTAATTGCCATTGTGATGGTATTAAGAGATGGGACCCTTAAGAGGTGATTAGGCCACAAGAGCTCCATTTTCATAAATAAATTAATATCATTATTTCAAGAGTGGGTTGTTATAAAAACAAACTTGCCCCCGTCTGTGTTTCAGTCTCACCCTCACTTGCCCTTCTGCCTCTGTCATGAGATGACATAGCATGAAGGCCCTTGTAAAATGTCAGCACCTTGATATTGAACTTCCCAGCATCTGGAACTATGAGAAATCAATTTGTTTTCGTTGTAAATTATCCAGCCTATGGTATTCCACTATACAATAACAAAATGGACTAAGACAATAACCCATCCACACGATACAATGCATGATGTAGAAAGTAAATACATTGAAATAAATACAATGCAAAGAAGGTCTTTGTTATCCAAGACGCTCTGTCCTGTTCTGCAGAGTTAACAACCATCATATCTCTCATATGATACTTCTTACTAGAAAATTCCCAGGCGTACACAGGTGTGTGTGTTTCACCCCTTTTTGCCTTTATAAATGGAATTGGCTGGAATGCTGCTGAGATCCCAGCTGCTGACCCTCCTGTCAGGTGCCCTGTGGTTCTCATTAGGGCCTCTGGGATACTAACATTCACACAGGCAATGTACTTTCCCTTCCTGACGCCTCTGGGGCCCACCCGGGACCGTCAAACAGACCCTGCAAAGCTTAGGAGATCAATTCCAACAGAAGTCCAGAGCCATGGTGCTCTTGGAAAAATCACAAACCAAAATATAGAAGTAAGACTTTTTCTTCCTAAATTTTAGGAAGAATAAGAAAATTTAGTGGACTTATTTGTCCACTAAAATATTAAATGTGAGGAGAGGGGAAGGCAAAACTATGGATGATTATTTTCTTTTTTTTATATTTCTGTAACTTTAAATAAGGATCTATATTTATAATGAAAACATTTATTTATAATGAAAAAAACCTCAATCTATCAAAAAAAAAACAAACCCCAAAAAGTATTGCCAGTTCCCATTGAAGTGGAATCTTAGGCTCTCAACTTATTAAATGTACTAATAAAGTTTTTATTGGTAAGCAGATACAAAATCGCTTTATAAGAATCCCCAGGGAATTACTAAGCATTGTTTTGTAATAGTAAAATTGGATCCTAATGAGCATAGTGGTAGAAGTCACTGTCTGCAGAAATTAGAAATGAAATAGAGTTGATTCTGGGTATGTCTGCATTGAATTAGTAGAGTGTCTTGGAAAGCTTGCTGGACTATGATGTGCACGGTGGGTAACAGGATCTCCCAGGGTGTTCAAAGCAGCATGATTCCATCCCCAGCTTGCCCTGCTTGTTGAAAATCACTCTCTAGGACAGTATTTTCTGTGCTGTGGGTTTTAGCCTCTGTGGGCCTGGAATATTACTGCTGGTGACTGTGGACCCTTCCAAACATAACATACTGTCTGCCACAAATAACACAGTTACTATTTATTGAGTGTTTCTTATGTGCCAGCCACCGTTCTAAGAACTTTCATGCATTTACTTATCCAGTTCAGTAATCCGGTAAAGCTAATAGCATGTTGATTACCTTATGATTGAGGAAACTGAAACACAAAGGGCTGAAGAAGATTGTCTAGAGTCTCTCTTCTATTAGGAGGTGGGGTCATGGTTAAAAAGAGCCACCTCCTAATCACTAAACCATGTCACCTCTCAGATTAGTGGATGACATCTCCTGTATGTGGACCATCTGTCTGTATGTGTGCCTGCGATTGTTTTCCAGATATTTGTAGAGATTGTTGAGATTGAACAAGCAGAAATTCATATAAGAGCCATACTGAGTTTACATCAGCTTTTGGTCATCAGTATTTTCTGTCAGTGGATCTAAAATGCGACTCTTTTCTTGTGATGATCCTCCAAGTATTTGGCTGTTCTAAAAAGGCTATGGTCCCAAAGGCTGAACGTCATTGTTCTAGAGGAAGGATTTTCCTGTGATGATCCTCCAAGTATTTGGCTGTTCTAAAAAGGCTATGGTCCCAAAGGCTGAACATCATTGTCCTACAGGAAGGATTTGGTCATCAAACACACACCATCCCTAGTTCTTTCCCAAACAGCTCTCCTCCAGCTCTGTCATGTCTCCACCAGGATCAAATGGCATGGTCTCTCATTCTTTGTGATGTAGACAGACACTGGTGAGATAAATTGATAAGCACTGCTTTGGGAGTCATCTGTTGAAATACAAAAATAACTTTGTAACATAACCTCCTTCTCCTTAGAAACAATTATTGGAGGAATTTATGAATTTTACATCTTGTGTGAGAGGCTGACAGAACCTCCAATCAGAAAGGCCGTGTTCTAGCGTCAAATCATCCATCATTTGTGTAACTTTCAGCAAGTCACTCTACCTCTGTACCTCTGCATTTTCAATTTGCAAGAGTGGTTGCAGAGTTAAACTAGATGATGGTATTATATACTTGTTTTTGGTTTGTCTATTTCTTTATTTTAAAGAATGTTCAATATCTACTCCATAACAGGCATAGCATTAGCTTCAGGATTTCCAGCAGTGAGCCAAACATACAGAGCCCTAGTTCTCATGGGGTTGATTTCCTATTTGAGGAAAAGAGACAAAAAGGAAATATACAAATACATACATTATTAGGTGGTGATAAATGCTATGGAGAAAAATAAGAAGAAATAGGGGAGATAAGGGGGGGGGGTGATTAATTTATGTAGACATTCAGGAAAGGCCTCAATGTTGAAGTAGTATTCAAGCTCATACCTGAGAAAATTAGAGCCTGAGCCAAAAGGCTATCAGGGCAGATGGTCACAGGCAGCCAGTGCAAAGGACCTGAGGTGGGAATGTGCTTGGTGAGTTGGAGGCACAGGAAGGGGCCTGTGTGGCTAGTACAGAGGGAGGAAGGCTGAGAGTAGAGATGATATCTGAGCTTCCAAGGGGCCAGAGAATGGAAGGTTTGGGAGTGAGACGGAGCCATGGACAAATTGAAGCAGAGTGAATATGCTCTGATTTATACTGTTAAAAGTTGATCACTCCTGCGGAGTGTGGATAGAAATTTAGGGACAAGGGAGGGTGGAGGGAGACTAGTTAGGAGACTATTGTCATAATCCAGGTGGCTTGGCCATGAAGTTAGTGGCGGAAGAGGTCTCATTCTGGGCATATCTTGAAGCTATGCTTGATGGGGTTGTTGGTAATTGGGTCTGGGGTATGAGAGGAAGGGAGGGGCCAGGGTGACACCAAGCATGTGATTAAGGCCTGAGCACCTGGACTGATGAGCTGTTGTTTGCTAAGATGGGTAAGGCTGAGAGAGATGCAGTTTTAGGGGAAGGGTTGGATATTAGGGGTTCAGCTTTGGACTTGCATTTCCGTGTCTAGGAGACACTCTAGTAGAGATATGAAATTGGTGATGGTATGAGTAAGGTTGGAGTTTAGACAAAAATCTAGGCTAGAATTATGGATTTGAGAATCATTAGCATACACATGCTATTTAGAGGCTTGAGACTGGATGGAAGCGTAGATAAATTGAGTGTAGCTAGTGGGGGCCAAAGCATTGATTCTCTTCCCAAATGCTAGGGAGCCCTATTACTTGGAGCAGGAATTGTCAGACAGTGACCAGATTTTCATGTCTTTTTGTAAATAAAGTTTAATTGGAACCATTCATCTGCATTTCTTTATCTATTGTCTGTGGCTGTTGTTGAGCTACAACAGGAGAGCTGAGTAGTTGTGACAAAGACTCATGGCCTGCCAAAGGCCAACAAAATCTACCATCTGGCTGTTTAGAGACAGGGTTTTTGTTTTTGTTTTTGTTTTTTTTGACCCTTGATTTAGAGATCAAGGAGATAAGAGGCATCCAGCAAAGGAAGCTGAGAAGGAATAGCCAGAGAGGAAAGAAGAGTGCCAAGAGTTCTGCATTGAAGGAAAGATGGTGCCAGGGTTTGAACACACAGCATTAGAATACGTGAGGCTGGGCAAGTTACTTCCCCATAAGGACGGTAGTAGCACAGGATTGGCATAAAAATTAAAGTAGATGATGCATGCAAAACACTTACAGCTGTGCCTGGTATCCAGTAAGTATTCAGTAAATGCTCTTACAGCATCTACTTCTATTTGCTTAGTCTGTAGTCCTCAGCCAAGGCTCTGTACTGGAGACAAATCAGGATGTTTGAGGATTAGCCCCACCGCCTGATCAGGTAAGCCTATGATCTATGCTCAGGGACCTGAGGAAGAAGGAGGAAGGTGAGCCATGTCCCCCGACCCTGACCGTGTACACCCTGTCCCCCAAGAGGACCTTGAAGAAGAGCCCTTCAGCATCTGCTTTTTACTTCCTATCTTTGACAAACAGTCTTTATGGAAAGCTTTTGAGCAAACGGCAAATCCATCTTTATGAGATTACTAATGTCAACACATTTTGTGTATCAGGATTTTATAGGCTCCTGCGGGCCTGTGCCTGTGACAACATTGGCTGGCAGTGCTCGCCTGAGGAATTATGCAACATGCCCCTGATGCTGGAGAAGGATCTTGATATCCCACTGAGGCCCGGGACATTTTCTCCCAGAAACAGTCTTGAATGAGAAGCTTGAAGAGGGGAGTTAGATTTACTGGGGCTTCTCTAAAGATTCTGTGTCCAAAGCTTGAATAGGGAAAGAAATACTTTGCATCCATGTAGCAGGTTCTGCATTCAGCATACCAGGTTTGCTCCTAGTTAAAGAGTCATGGAGCCCATGGGAGTGTTTGTTCTTTGGGAATGTCATAAAAGAGAATTTGGCCTCTCCCACTTACATGTTCTTGCATTTCTTATTGGTCCTTCTCTTGCAATTATTGCTACTTTCCCTGGTCAACCTCTAGAGCAGTGGCTTTCCAAGTGCCTTCTGTGGACAGGTAGTATCAGCATCATCTAGAAACTTAGAGACGCAAATCCTCGGTGCACCCCCAACCCATGGAATCAACCGTTTTTAATGTGTGACCTTTGGCAGATTAGTTACCCCTCTGAAATCTAGTCTTACCCTATGAAATATGGGAACGTTAATAGCACAGGATTATTGTAAATATTAAATGAGATGATTTTAATGAGTCTTCCAGGCGATTCTGATTATGCTACAGTTCCACTCCTAAAGATTCTTCTAAAAGATTCCCATTTTTGGACAATTAGAAGTTCCTGCTAAGAGAAATTTTCAGATTTTATCCCTCTACACATTCGCAACTATTTTTAATCTGAGCTAATCTGCCAATCATCTTTCCAAAATGAATTAATACTCTCCCATTTTCTTAAAAATTTTGTAGGATATCAACCATTTTAAACTTTTTCTTAAAGACTCAGGGCATCATCATGAATATAATTATTGTTATATTAGATGTTGGGCCTTTGTCATATTTCTATATTTTGTGTTGTTTACCAGTTTTTTTCAGCTTCTTTAAAAATAGAATCTTTAGTTTGCTACCTTCTTCTTCATTGTCTGGATATCAGCTATTTTTTTAATAGCTATATCCAGTATTATCCCCATCACTTTCTAATTTTTTACTTTTAACTTGATTTTGCACAAGGACTGAAATAACCAAGATGATTAATAATGTACTCAAAGCAAGAATAAATCATTAAACATAATAGTAAATAAATGAGAAGAATTTATTGAGAGGAAATAAATGAGAGGGATTTTTTTTGAAAGTATAAGCTTCTGTACCTGAGTTTTGCATCATAAAGTCTGGATTCTTGGGTACCTTACTATTTACTTCTGATCATGTCATAGTTGTCTTGAATAACTGAATAGCTGATGTTTTGAATAAATGAAAAGTTTTTGTAGCATACTCACCACTCAATCATTCTCCTGAATGTTCCACCCTCATCATGTTATACCTTTCTATCCTTTGCATATATTGTTGACATATACATTTTCCTAGGTGATACAGTTTGTAACTGATATCATCCAATCACAAGTAAATTACTGCTCTGTGGAATAAAAGGTAATAACTAAATGGGACATGTCTCCTCTTTCACTCCCTTTTTGCTGTTGTTCCACTTCTCCTGGGCTCCTGATGAAGTCTAGGGGAGAGTATACAGGGCTGAGATGTGAACAACCCTAGGATCTAGGCTTGGCTCTGCCACTAAGTGACTATGTAGAACTAGGCAAATCTCTTGGCCTCTCTGGGCCATGAGATGCAACACTATAAATCAGTACGATAATACTCGCTTCTCCTTCCTTATAGCAGTAGAGCAAGAATCCAAATAAATAGTACAAGTGAGAACTCAACACAATCTACATCTGTGAAGCATCATTCTTAAGGTATATCCAGGGCATTTGGCTCCACGTAGACCTAGAGGTTGCTTTCTCAGTCCCTTGTCCGCCCCATATCCAGCTGCCTTGGCTCACAGAGTTTGAGACTGTGCTGTATTTTCTGTCATGCTTCAGAGTGTATCAAATCAACACAAATATAAAATAAAGCCATAAAGAGAAGGCTGATATTCACCATAGAAAATGTTGGAGGGAAAGACAAAAACACTCAACGACAACTTCACAAACAACCCTTATTATGGCTGTGGAAGACACAATAGTATGTGTAATGTGGTGTTTGGGCTGTATTTGCTGCTTGGGAATCTGGTGCATTCTGAGATGGAGGGAATGCCAAGTGTTTAGACAACATGCTGCTTGGCGCCTGCAGGTTCCTGGAAAGGACTGGGGTCTCCAGATCTAGGCTGCCAGCCAGGAGTCTCAGGCAGAGACATGCATTCTACCGTTTAAGGCCTTTCTAGACTTCAGCAGTGAGCAGATACAGGAGCCCTCAAGAAGCTCTGCAAAAGCCTACCACCACTGAGATCCAGGACATAATATGCATTCCTAAGCAGGCTGCTGCCTTTGGCTGAGTCTATCTGGGGGCCTTCTCTCTGCAGGAGAGGATGCTAACAGCTACTGTTCCTGAAGGACTCATAAGAAGACTTCTGTGCACTTCCAGCCTCCCACATGAAGCTTCTGGAAGGGCTAACCCGGTTCATTTCATCTACTTGCTGCCTATGCCAATCCTATCCCCTCTTCAAAGCCCAGTTTAAGTCTGACCTTCCCCATGAAATCACCAAAGCCTTTAGTCTTCATGACCCCTCCTGCCTCTGGCGGTCTCTTGCACTTGTTGCCTGAGATTCTCTTAAGCTCTTTTCATCTGCTGCCTTGTTAGTTAAATTTACTCTGAGTGTGTTTTATCTTGTTTCCTCAGCTGGATTGTCTGCATCTTGGGGGAAGGGAAAGTTCTTATAAATCCTGGTTCTGCTCTTGGGCCAGGACATGCCTGGGGCAGCAGGTGTGTCTTCCCCACCTAGACTGAGGAATTGTGTCTCAGGGGCTGGGCTGGATTCCGCAGGAGGGAGGCCAGGGCTGCCAAGAGCAGGAGAGCCAGAGAAAAGAATCAAATGGCCTTAAATTTGATTTAAGTTTCAAATTGCTTGAACCCAGGAGGCGGAGGTTGTAGTGAGCCAAATCGCACCATTGCACTCCAGCCTGGGCGACAAGAGTGAAACTCCGTTTGAAACAAACAAACAAAAAAACAAACAAACAAACAAACAAAAACAAGCCTGGCAACTGCTGCCAAGTGTCTCATCCAAAGAAGGAAGGGGGATCGAAACCAAAGAATTGTGAAGTCACAGGATCAACAGTCAGGCAAGTGGCTAAGGACTCAGGCTATGAAGGGTCCTCTGCCACGGTTAGGAGGTTTCTTTGTTGTTTTGTGGTGCTCTTTGTGGTGTAGAAACAGGTCATTTCTCTACAAGGATTCATGCAGGTTGGACAGTTCCATCATGGTCTGCTCCCAAGCATGGGGCCTGTAGAAGTAATGACTTTTCTTCTGGTCCCAGTCCACAAAGAGATCGTGATCCCATTCCCCTTACCTGTACAATGCAGGGGTGAGACTCAATCCTTTCTTGAGTCCCAGTAAATGACTTGAGAGATTGTGAGCAGACCAATATCTTCTGTAAATGACTGGATATTCCAGGGAATACTTTCAAAAAGCATCTTGGACATAAAAACTTTTTTTTTTCATAAGCAGTGGAGGCTTGGGGTCAAAAGCTAGACCATTCCTAAAGGAAAGTTTGATAGTTTCTTCTTTGGGAGTGAAAACCCTATGCATTTAAGAACAGAAAGGAAAGCTTGCATAGGTCTGAAAATGGAAAATAGGCCTATTTCCTTTAAGAATAGTAAATTTCAGGCCAGATGCACTGGCTCATGCCTGTAATCCCAGGACTTTCGGAGGCTGAGGTGGGCAGATCACTTGAGATCAGGAGTTCAAGACCATCCTGGCCAACATGGCAAAACCTTCTCTCTACTAAAAAATACAAAAATTAGCTGGGTGTGGTGGCACGTGGCTGTAATTCCAGCTACTCGGGAAGCTGAGGCACAAGAAGCAGAGGTTGCAGTAAGCCAAGAGCAGGCCACTGCACTCCAGCCAGGGAGACAGAAGGAGACTCTGTCTCAAAACAAACAAACAAACAAACAAAAAACCAAAAAAGAATGGTAAATTCCAATTAACAACAGGAGATGGAACAAATGGTGGACAGTGACTGTCATCAGAGAAGTAAATGCTATGTCTGCAAAAAAGAGGTGAGGGCACAGTGATGCGTAGAGACCCCTGGCTTTAATTATCCCATGCCTTGGTGTTACTGGTCCTCTGGAGATCTACTTAACAGGAAGTAGTGAGCTATGTCCCCACAAAAGCATCCCAGAGGCCATTTCTGAGCAGGATGGCCTGTGGGAGTCGAGTGGTCAGTTGCCATGGTTAGCAGAGATTTCCTGCTGAGAAGTCGCCCCTATGTGTGCACATGGACAGTGTTGGGTAGAGCAATGCTCCTTCAACTTTAGTGTGTTTACCATCACCTGGGGATCTTGTTGAGCTACACGTTCTGATTTCATAGGCCTGGAGTGGAACCCAAGACTGTGTTTCTAACTAGCTTCCAGGTGCTGTCCATATTGCGGGGCTGTGGACCACATTTTGAGTAGCGTGGTGTAGTGGACACTGGAGGAAGAAGTGTAGACCTGAGCTCTAGCCCCAGCTCAGCCCTGTGTGTGGCCCTGGGCAAGTCACTGACACTCTAAGACTCACAATTATGTCAATCATAGTGATAAAGGGAAATGAACTAGAAAGACTCTCCCTGGTTCTATGATGCGATGTTTCTGTTACAGTCCCACAGAGAATTTAGACCTCTACCTTGTTCTTCCTTAGAGTAGACTGTTGGCCCTAGAGATGTGCCCAGTGGTCATGTAACATGGAGATATGCTTGATTAATTCACTGTACATGGGTTGTTTGACCAGCTTCTACCCAGTGCCTATAAGAGTAGATACCAGACTCTATTTTTATGTCATTTGAAAGACAAGGGTAGAAGAGACAGCAGTTCAGTGACAGTTGCGCCATCGCCATTACTCTAATGGTTCAGAAATAGCTTCCCCTCTTCCCCTGTGGAATGTTTAGATTCATACTTTTAACCTGTAGCATTTTCCTACCCTTCCTGTGTAGGAAGCAGGTGCATTGGACCACCCTAAAACAATGCGTAGGCCTCAGACTTCTGAACTCATTTCTCTGAGATGAGATGTCCAGTTTGTTCACTACAACAATAGTTGCCAGACCTATTACGGTTATGTAATAGGTTTCTTTTTTTAAACAGGTCTTGAAAATGTATGCATTATTCTTTAGGTAATAAATGAAATTTAAAAGACTGAAAATAAATCAGCTTTGCAAAGTGGGGGCTGAAGCTTTTCTACTAACTGAACCATCTTTTCTTTTTTATTCTTGTTACTTTTTAAGGAGATGATGGCAAGTGATTTCTTTTTAACCCATTTTAAGGGCCCAGTTCATCTTGTACAATTCTTGTGCAAAGTCTCTACTGAGACTTTGGCCTGATGCAAAAGAAGAGGCCCTTAGAGAATAATGCTGGGCATGGAGTGTGATTCAAGAAGTTATTATCGTGTGTTCTCTGACACAGGGTGGCTCTTGCTCCCCAAGGGTCCAACAGAGAGGGGCCCAGGCATGCAGAATATTACATGCCTGCCCTGTTTCCCCATCAGAGAAATGTTTTCCAACAGCCATTGTGGTTGTAGTAAGGAAAAACATGTCTTTCTGCCTGGATATATCAACTGAGGGATGAACGGTGAGAGAATATAATTGTCTAAGGATGACAACAGGATCAATTTCCCTTTGACACTGTAGGCCACCACCTCTTTGTCTCCATAAAATTTCATTAGCACTTGAATTTATCAGATTGGCTTAGCTGTTGTGCATTCTGCTCTGTGTGCAACGGGCCCATTGTTCTACTCTACTTTAACTGGTTTTCTGATGGATGTGTTTATGATACCTCCTGCTGGGTATTGTGCGTGACAACTGGGGACTCGATAACTAAACAATATCTGAACGCAGAATCCCTCTGTCCAGGGAGGGGCTGAGGAAGTCACAACAGTTAATCTGTAGTAGGACCCATGTCCTCCCATCTGCAGGGGATGCTCTGTTGGCTTGCAAAGTGGAAAGATCTGGGAGGCTGAGGTCTGATGTCGTCGTCATCGGCAGAGCGACCTTGCTCCTCATTTGTGCGCACAGGCACTGAATGGAGGGAGCCTTGAATCATCTGATTTTGCTCCTCATTAGTATTTCTCCACTGTGTTCTCTGACCACACTTTCCTCCTCGGTGCATGCAAAGCTATTAGCAATGCACACACGCGGCACATCTGTGGAGCCATTATTGCTGCTGGATAGCTGTGTTTGTGTAAAATATTGAACACCCTGTGAAGATTTATAATGGTTTCCCGCCCTGTCCTCTATCCACCCCCTCTTCTCTATTTAAAGACATATTAACATCTCTAGCTCTACCTGGAGGAAAAACTCTTTGAAGTGAGACTGCACGAAGATAAAATGCCTTCTCTGAAAGCGTCCCTCTAGAATGAGCATGGAGGCCTTCTGAGAGGCCAGGGAACCACCTGAGGCACAGGGGCAGGATGTCTCTGCTGGAAGGCCTCAGGCCCCTCTCTCCCTGCTTTCTGTCCCTACTGGGAGTCAGCTCTCCCAAGCACAGGCTAAGCACCCTTGTGACCACAGTTATCTGGCCCTTGTGAGAGCTTGCTGGTGACTTTCCTGAGACTGGAGTCCCGAGGCTTTTAACAATGTGGATGTGCCTTGGCCAAAAGACATCCTCTGGGTTCCTTAATACTTGTCTTCACTCTTCTGTTTTGTCAGTGGAGATGCCAGTAGCTGTAATTTAGTCTTGGGTGGGAGAGAGCCAGAGGTCGAGGAGGGGGTGGGGAAATTGTCATCCTAACCCAGCATAGAGGACCTGGTTTAAAGAGGCTTAACAGACCACTGGTCTTACCAGCAGATGCACCTGGGGCTTCGAGAGTGACTTGGGCTTAGCTTCTTCAAAGGGTGCTGAAATCTCTCACCACCCCTGCTCAACCCTCTTGCTGCCCCCACCCCAATGGAGAGGGGCCCAGGCATGCAGAATATTGTATTCCAACGATGCTAGATTCATGTGCATGATATGGAAGGGTCTGGAGGGAAGAGGCTGCTGGTGCCTATGGCCCTGAGGACCAGCTTTCTCCTTCCCCCATGTCCCCAGGCCACCCCACCCAGAGCATGCCCTCGGCACGCAACAAGCGGCATGTTCCAGGTTGTTCCAGGGCCAGAGAGAGTGACATGAGGCAATGTCTGTGGCAAGCGAAAAATGTGTGCTGAGCCTTGGGAGGCGCCGATTGGCTGGCAGTGAGGTAATGCAATGCAGTCCAAATGTGGAAGCAGCAGTACCAGCATCGAGGGCGTGCCTCCTCGGCAAGCCTGAGTCTCCTGCCAGCCATCTGAAGGACAAGGCGCCGAGGGGTGCTGCAGACCTCATGCAGGTGGCTGGCTCACATGGCAGGGTCTGGGTGGTAGAGATCAGATGGCAGGATCTGAGTTGTCATGTCTGTTCTCTGTCCCTGAACACACCAAATGCCACTACAATTCTGATCTCTGTTCTTCAATGGGGATCTCTTAGTGGGGAGGGCAAAGAAGCTTGAAAATGAGGGTCTGGACCTCAGAACCACTTACCCAGGTCATGGTGAGTGATGGTCAATACAACTACTCTTGAGGATTAGGATGGTTTTCTCAGTAACCGATGGCTTCCCTTTAATGATATAAACCTTCTCAGGGTCTTTCCTAAGCACAGTTCTAGATTCATATTTGGGCCAGAAGTCCACACTCAATCTCCCCATTCCAGTCCATTTCCTATGACTTTGTGTCATTGGCAATGTCCGCTACGAAGGATGGAGGAATTCAAGAGGCCACTGTGGGCTATGCTTTCTTCTCTTTAATAAGACTCCTGTTCCAGGAGAAAACTGGCCTCTCAAAAAAAGTCTTCTGAGGAATAGCAGCTACCAGGAATCACAGTTGGTTCCCCATGAACATTTCAGATCAATTACATAAATAATAACTACCTATTGTCTTCTAGTGTCAGTACCACAGGAGTAACTCCACATCTTTGAGTTAATAAATAAATTTACTTACTTATTCAATAAATATTCTGGACTCTTTACGGCAGTTCTGACAATGTTCTAAATGTATAGGCTATGGTGGTGAGCAGAACAAAGTCCTTGGTCTCATGAAGCTAACATTGTAAAGGGAGATACAGACAAAAAGCAAGAGAGCTAAGAAGAAAATGAAAGAGGATAATGAAATACAGGGTGGCTAGTGATTGAGGCAACTGTAGTTGGGTGGTCAGGGATGACCTCTGTAAAGAGGTAACATTTTAGCTGAGACATCAGTGAAGCCAATATGGCCATGAGAAGTTCTAGGAGAAAACTCCCTGCTGGCCCCAGAAATTAATTACAATATGAAGCTTTAGGGAAGGCCACAGGGTTGAATACCTAAGAAGAAATATCCCAGTGGTTAAGGACAACTTCTGCTTTGCCACTCAGAGAGAAGCAGAGCTTGTCATTGAGCTAGTACAGTCCTGTGCACTCGTGGGAGTAAGGTCGCCTCCTTTCCCCAGGCACACAGTAACTCTGCTGGATTGCTGACTCCTGGCAGTGTCTTGTAGCAAGGTAGACTGGGGGGTGGCAGATGCAAACTCTCCCTAAAGAGGTATCATCCTCAGTTATTTCCATTCACCCAAACCCTTTCTTTCCTCCAAATCACACTGGCTATATATCTGAATGTTTTCTTTGACCCAGATCCTATTCTTGGCTTCTGTAGACATTGTCTTGTTTGATCCCTATAAAAATCTGCAAGATGGATGCTATAATTTGCATTTGACTAAGGAGGAAACTGAGGCTGTAAGAGATAAGGCAACTCTCCCAAGATGGCTCTTTTGGGGAGACGTAGAATTGAGGTCCAAACTCCTAAGAAAGATGGAACTTTGGCCATCTCCATTGAGGATGAATAACTCATCAAACTATTCCTGGGAAAGGGGGTGGCAGAGGAGAGAGAGATATTGAGACAGGCTACATATCATAATATCATGGGTTAAACCAACAGCAATTTTAGACCCCAAGGGGACAATTCGCATAGCTGCAGACGTTTTTCCTTGTCACACTGGGGATGGGTGGGGAGCGCTACTGACATCTAGTGGGTAGAGACCTGGGATGAGGTTCTAAATGTTCTACGACGCACATGACAGTGCCACAGCAAAGAATTATTTGGCCCCAGATGTCAATAGTGCTGAGGTTGAGAAACCTTCGATTAAAGTCTTACAGTGCTCACTGCTCTCTGCTTCCTCTGTCTTCCTTCTATGGCTGCCCTCGGGGTTACTTACACACTGGATCTCTAGATACAGGACTAAAGTCATAATGGAAATTTAAGATTCCATTTGGATGCTGATTTTTTTCCCAAGCTCTCTTCACTATTTATTAAATGGTTAGTGAAGGGAGGTGGAAAGCTTGATCTCCAGGCAAGTGAGTCCCTTGGACGTGGGGTGGGGAGGGTGAAGCTCTGGTGTGGTACTGCATCAGCCTAGTGGGAGGTGCTTGTTAACCCTCTGTGCTGTGGCTTCCCCATCTGTAAAATGGAGGTGAAAATACCTCCTCCTGCCACCTCTCAGGTTTGCTGTGAGAAGTCAGTGATGTGTAAGTGCTTTCATAAAAGTACTATATACGTGTGTTATTACTAATTCTTATATCATGAATAAAATGAAATCATCATTCTGCCCCTGACAACACCAATTTGCTGAACCATTAGAATTCTGTACATTACAGTCTTAAAGAGCCATAGAGAGAACTGTAAGGGACCTCAAGAGGTCATGCGGTAGAAAATGGCCAGTGAGACACTTGGGAATGATTAAAGTGAGGTGGGAAGACACATGGCATCTTATTCAGTTACTCAACTCTCCTTTGTTCACTTCCTTGCATCATCATTGCCTTTAGGAGTAATATAATAACTGCATTAATAAAGTTGTTATCCTCCTCCCACCCCTGCCAGAGCTCTGAGGGCACAGTCTAAACAGAATAATTAATTAATGAAAATGAAGAGAAAATAGCTCAAGTGATGGCTATAGGAGATCAAATAGCAAAGAGAAAGCTGCAAAAACGTTCGTTGTTATTTGACACTGAGTAGTGCAAAGAGGGCTGGGAGAGTCCCAGGATCCCTGATCAACAGAGAGAGAGTATCCTGGGGGTTTCCTCTTTACTTTTTCTTTTTCTGCTCTGAAAGGTTAGGAAAGATCCTGAGGGCATAATCTGACCATCTGATCCAGGCCAGCATACTGCTGGAGAAGACTGTGTCGGGGATGAGGTGGTCTGAGAAGCTGGAATAAATGCAGGATCAGCTGATAAGGAGGGTGAGGAAAAGGTGAGCTTAGTGTCTGACTTTAAAAATATGTAGATGAGCTCCCTAAATAAAATACCCCTCCACACTGTACTGATGACTGAAATTCCTTTAAGAGAAAATATTTTCGTTCTACAATTAAAGATAGAATCCTATTTTTTCCAGGGAGAAGTAATATTGTCTTAAATTTATCCTACATTACTACATGTTGATTACAAAAACTGAAGAATCTATTTTCTTTGTTTTTTTTCCAGTTTTTATCTCCATCCCCATCTTGCATCTTACAAAGGACCCAATAGAAGCTTCATGGGGTACAGGAAAGAATATAGCAAGGACCTTGGAGGCCTCAGGCCTCAATCTGGCTCTGCCATTCAATAGTTTGACCTTGGAGAGCAATCAGAATTCTCAGGGCCTTAGATCCTCTGCCCGTGAAGCTGAGGTATTGGACTGGATATCTCCAAGGGCCCTACTAACAATAAGATTATGGACTGGGGATGGCTTTTCTTCTTTCCATTTTGTTCAAGGAAGCCTCCTCTTCGTCATTTCTCACCTACCACCCAGCTCTGTATTTTCCCATATTTCAATGTCCTTTCATGAAGACATATAAACAGTGGCCATGAGTCAAGGGGATGCAAGGGTATCTGTGGTTCAAGAAGATGCACGTGATGACCACGGCTAGTTGATCCCTCTTGGCATATTGTTGCCATCTCAGAAAGACAGGAAGGGTGGGTTACAGCTGCCAGCACCATCAGGATTAAAAGCAGGAGGACTTTAAGACTCACCCTCGATGATGCAGAACTCAAAAGGTCTCTGCTTCACAGCTCTGGGCCACCTTGAAGGGCAAGTTGACAAAATAAAGCAAAGCCCAGACAGCCTTACAGAGTAGTAGATTCTGCATTCCTCATTTTCATGGATAATTACTGTAGCCTTCAATTTGAGGAACATGGCAGTGATTTGTGTGCAGTTTACTCTTCTTTCAGGTGATGGAACCAGAGCCAGAGGCGTGGATGTGACTCTGTTGCCCTCTAGTGGCTAGAATGCAGTAGCATACCCAGCACCCCCTCAGACTTGGCTTGGTGGTGCCGCTGACACGTGAGCAAGGGTTCCTGGGACACTGACTGCCAAGGGGGCTCGGGATTCTTTCAGCACAACTCCTGACCTGAGATTCTGCAGAGAGAGAGAGAGAGGGAGGGAGGGAAAGAGCATCATCCTTCCTATTTCTGGAAGTCAGATCTGTAACACAGAGGGCCTGTTTCGTCTAGAGTAACCCTGTACCAGCTGCAGCGCTGGGACGCTCCTGCCTCTTCTGCGGTCGCATGTCCATGTTTTGGGGCAGCTAAGGCACCTGGGGTCTGCTCTCGCAGTCACACATTTGCTGTGTCACTTCTGCCTCAGTTAGATGTTTTCTCTAGCAAACAGATATCATTATGTGGTTTTCCAATTATCACTTCCCAAAGGGAGCTGGTTAATATGGATGAGGCTTTTTAACATTTGGCTTTGAAGACAGGGTTATATGTAGTTGTAGCAGAGGGAGCCAATATCTCGGTAATTGGCTAAGGTTTGCAGAGGAGCAAGGCAGTCTGGGGTATGTGCCATCTCTGGGACGCGGGGTCTTTGCAGAATGTGTTATTGTGGTGTAGTCTTTAAGTGAGTTCTCAGATAAACTGGAAGGTGGGTCTAGGTGGAGATTATTTCAAGAAGGTTAGAACTCTGGTCTCTGGTTACAATAAAAAAGCTGGATTGCTGAAGATCATATGGGCATTGTTGATGTTGGGCTCAGGCAGAGAGTTCTTAGTAGGGTCTTCTTACCCTGACGGTTGCCCTTTGTAACAGGCAATAATACAAGAGGATTAATTTATGGAGAGGCTGAAGAGGTTAGTGGAATGAGAAGAGATGCAGCATGCAGGGACAAAACTCAGTTTACTATATCAGCTTCTTTTACCCTTTGGGACAAGAATCCCCAATTTACTGGGCAAAACTTCCCTCCTTCTACTTCCTCTTCCAAGAGTTTAACTCATGGAAAGGAAATGAGGGGAAATAGCACATTTCATGGCATCGAAGAGGGCATCTTTGAAACCTAGCGGCTTTCCACCTACAGACATTTAGAATGCAACTTATGCTGGCAAAGCTATTGAGGGTTTAAATGATATGCTTTATAGCGTGTTGCATTTCTTCCTTTGAAAATGAGGAGCTTGAATTACCTTTCTTGCTTCATAATAGAAATTTAGTCTTATTTCTCAGTCTATAGTTAACACATAGCAATCTGGTGCCTTCGAGTGACAATTTACCTAAAAGTCAGCGTTACATAGATAGTTCTACAAAATCCAAACTTACATGCTTTGTCTGTACACTTCTTGGTCTTCCAACCTTCAGGATCACCATTGATTCCTTTTCCTGTACCCCTCCAACCCCTGACACTGTTAAACTCCATTTCAGTAGTCATTCACCCAGTCCTGCAGATTTTTTGTCCCTACAGCCTAACATTAGTTTTCAACCAGATCACTCTTTTTTTACACTATTCAAAAATTTCTTTAGCTTTAAAAGCCCTCATGAGCCAAAGTGCCAGAGATACTTGTGGTGTTCTAAAGTATTTGCTGGGACAGGGTTAAATGGATAGGGAAAAAAAGAAATAATAGGAGGGAAAAGGGTCCCATGAAAAGCTTGCTGCCTGGTGGTGGGGAAGATGGAGTACCACCAGCTATCATTATAGGCTGGGCCAGGTGATAGGCAGAATAAAGTGACTTAAGAAATTTCTGGAAGCACTTCACTGCACTGCAAGTCATGCCACTCTTCCTCAGCTCACAGTTGGCAGAAGCACCACTATAAACTGGGTTCAGCCACGTGTCCCTTAGACACATAAGAGAGGGAGTGCCAATTGGGAGGACAGGTGACCGAGGGGGGCAGAGGGACACATTCATTTATTACCCAGTTTTGTCCTGGATTGATGCTGGTCTTGGGTATCCGACAGTGGAACCACTCTAGTACCTGACACACCTACTCTTGACCCAGCTTTTTCACTCCCAATTTGGTTGTTATACAGCACCACAAATAGGGAAAGATGGCTGGGACTTTGAAGAGAACAGGTGGCTCCTATCAGCTGGTGCTAAAAGAGCCCCACCTTATAGATATGTATCTTACACTCATATGACCTTCCCTACTACAATACTGTCATAAAGTCAAAAATGTGTGTCTCTTGTCCCTTTGGGCTCCCCCAGCTCCATTTAATACCGTTCCCAATGTTTGTACCTAATTACAGATTTGAGGAGTCATAAAACCACATCTCCCAAGAGGTAGATCTGCTTTATTTTGGCTTCTGTGACACCTGATTGTCCTCTTTCTTCATTCACCTTTAATGATTTGCTTCCTTTTGTTGCTTATCAAGGACTTGTGCTCCTGAAGGTTCTGTCCTTGACTCCCTTGTCTTCCCCCAACATTATCTTTCTGGACAATCTCTACCACCTTAATGTTAATGAGCCTCAACTCCAAATTGGCAGCCCAGATCACCCTCCAGGGCTCTGGACATGTGTCCCCAGCTTTCTATTAGACATCTCTACCTACTTGTCCCACAAGAACCTCAAACAACAAACATCTAAACCTGAATTTATCCTCTGCTCCACAAAAGTCACTTCTCTATTTCTCATTAGAAGTATAGAAATGGAAGAATGAAAAACTTCCATCCATTCTATCACTTGGTATTAACCTAGACCTTTTCCCCTTGCTCAACCCCATCTCTCCTTTTGCCTTTTACCACGAATCTGTCACCAGATCTTACAATTCTACTTCTCAAATATCTTTCCAGACAGACTCTTCCTCTCCATGTCTACTTTACTGCCCTAGTTCAGGGTTTCATCACCTTGATCTGGCCTTTGATATCTGCCTCCATGTGTCCAGGACCTGCATGCTAATCCCTGAAAGAAAACCTGGATACAGTTTTGCAGCTGAATTTTATTTTAATGAAATCTGCATTCTTGTGGATAACCTTCCAACACACTACTTCAGTAATATCACTGACTGTAGCAATAATAATAATATCAGTGACTATAACAAAAACTTTTGGCTTAAAAAAAAATCCATTTGCAATGACTTCACTTTCCGAAGTTCTCAACTGATACCCAGAGCCATTCTTTTTGGTCATATGCCAATTTTGTGAGTAAAATATAGGGTTTCTTTATGACCATACATTTCCTATGATGGCGAGCTTATGAGGGTGGTCCTTCATGCAAGTTTCTCATCTTTCTATAGCCTGAAAAGTACTGATTCTTTTTTTTTTTTTGAGATGGAATCTCACTGTGTTGCCCAGGCTGGAGTGCAGTGGCATGATCTCGGCTCACTGCAAGCTCCGTCTCCTGGGTTCACGCCATTCTCCTGCCTCAGCCTCCCAAGTAGCTGGGACTACAGGTACCCGCCACCACGCCCGGCTAATTTTTTGTATATTTTTAGTAGACACAGGGTTTCACCATGTTAGCCAGGATGGTCTCTATCTCCTGACCTCGTGATCCACCCACCTCGGCCTCCCAAAGTGCTGGGATTACAGGTGTGAGCCACTGTGCCTGGCCTTGATTCTTTGAAAATGAACTCTTTTTGGCACCCTCATCTTCTGCCATCTTGGTCCATTTTGCTTATCAGAGTAAATACAACTGGTAAAAAGGTTTATGCTATTTATTCTCCCTCCAGTCTTGGTTCATAACATGCTCAGTTAAATTTCTCCCTCATTGAGTGTCTCCTCAAAGATAAATATTTTACCTTGGAAAGTCTGGTCATTTCTAAGGTTAGGAAAATGCTATCAGTCACTTTGGAGTTGATTGCCTATGTCAGGTTGGCATTCTTGGATGAACTACAGGTTTAAGATTTGCTGTTCTGCATGCATCACTGTGAAGTCATCTGAGATGGGCGCTGACCTGTAGCTCACAAGGAGTTTCAAGGTCTTCTATCATCCTCCTTTCAAACACTCACAGTGATTAATTCTCCAGAAATCACTACTGGTGCTATCACCTTCAGAAAACAATTTTCTTTCTGAATACATGTAGGGTATATAGGCTTCTCTGGTTTGGTTTGCATTTCACATTAGCCTTTTTTTTTTTTTTTTTTTTTAAATTCCAAGGAACTCTACCTTCAAAAGCAAGCAAAGCATTCTCCTCCCAGGTGGCCCATGTACTGGATTTTGGAGTCTGAATTGTTATTTCCTCACTCCTGCCTTCCTCTCTTCTTGGCTTTCTTTCTAGGGCACCTGACGTCCTTCCTTATTACTGATGGCAGCAGAGACTGAACCCCTGGGAGAGGAAAGTGAACTGAGTAATTGTTTTGCCTTTTCATGTCTGATGTATCACTCTGGGTCAGTGTAGCTTTAGTTGAAAGAGTAATGTTGTTACCCAGGAGCAGCTGTAGTGTCTCCAGACAACTCCAAGACCTCTCCAGTCCCGCAGAGGTCAGTTTCTGGTCTGGGCATAATGGTCTTTTTTCCAGGGGTTGAAGCCCAGCTAGAAGCAAATTCCTACTCTGATTTCTCAAGACTCTGAACACCCACACCGGCCCATGAGGGCAGAGAGTGGTGGCTGGCTTTCTAAACCAGCCTTGTGTCTTCAGAGTCCTTGATCAGAGATAACTTGGGGAAAGCTGTGTCTCATAAATCCACTTTGCTACTGGGTCAGAGAGATGCCTTGAGAATGACCTTAGCTAGGGAAGGGATGGAATATTGGTTTCCCTTTGTCCCCTGCCCTTCAGTTCATGGCATAGGGTTAAGAGAGTGTCAGGAGCCTGCAGGCCTGTTCTGTGCTTAGCGTGGGGAGACATGGCAGCAAGTTGGCAAGCTGGGGTCTTCTTATTCCAAATTCAACCATTTCTTGGCACTTTTTTTGTTTCTTTTTCTGAGAGGTAGTAGACAGTGGAGCTAAATAAAATTTTCTCCCAAGAAAAAATGGTTAGAAGCAGCGTGTCCCCTGCCCAGGCCTGAAATCTCTTCATTCCCTTTCCCTTTCCCCAGGGTTCCCAAAGGTCTTCTGCATTGCCCACCTGCTGCTCTCTTTCCTGCCCTGTTTGTTTTGATGGCATTAAAAGGCCTGCCTGCCTACTTTACAAGGACCCTCATTTCTTTACCCATCATGTTTTGATATATTTTTTCTTGCTTTTTCTTGAGGTTTGCAATCAAGAGCCCTTTAACTGAAATCCTGGGCTGCCTGCAGCAGCTGTGGGGTTCCCAGCCAACTGCCTTGTCCTCTGAGGGATAAATTCCCTTTGACCGTGCCACTTGTGAAAACACAGAGCAAGTGTAGAGTATTTTACATATAATTTAGAAAGAGAGAGGACTTATCGGTGGGTGGTAGGAAAGGACAGAAGATGGATTAATATTTTTTCTTTATCACTTGGCATGTTAAACTTAATTATATTTCTTGAAAGACCTCTAAACAGTTATAATTAGAAATTATGATAATAGCTGCGGTTGCCTTACACATGTTCATTTTACTGCTTGCTTCTTTGTGAATGTGGGCTGTGATTAATAAATAACCACCAACATCATTAGGACAAGACCTCTCCTTGCCTGCTGGGACCCCTTTGACTTTGGATGGACAGTGTCAAGGATCAGGAGCACCTAGACTAGCCCCATGAGCCATGGCCTTCATAGGCTAGATGGTCATTGGAAATGAAGTTGTTGGCACCGACAGTCACAGTTATGAAAATAAGAATTTGGATCTCAGATTTTTCTGCTCCCTCTTCTCCTGTGTATTAGTCCGTTCTTATGCTGCTAATAAAGACATACCCGAGACTGAGTAATTTATAAAGGAAAGAGGTTTAATGGACTCACAGTTCCACTTGGCTAGGGAGGCCTCACAATCACGACGGAAGATGAAGGAAGAGCAAAGGGATGTCTTACACGGAGGCAGGCTAGAGAGAATTAGAGCCAAGTGAAAGAGGAAACCCATTATAAAATCATCAGATCTTGTGAGACTTATTCACTACCACAAGAACAGTATGAGGGAAACTGCCTCCATAATTCAATTATCTCCTACCGGGTTTCTCTCACAACACTTGGGAATTATGGGAGCTACAATTCAAGATGAGATTTGGGTGGGGACACAGCCAAACCATGTCATCCTCTCTTGGTCATTTGTTTTTTTTTTTTTTGATTTACAAGTATCGTTTATTCACTCACTTATTTTTGTGCAGGGATGACAAGAGAGTCACAGGAATATCCCTAAATACTTACGGTATCATTGTAAAGAGAAATAACCCAAGAAGAGAGTGAAAAAAGAACCTCCTAACCAAGGGCTGCAGTTGAGTACTAACTACTCTGTGGTGAGAAATAGGAAATTTAGTATTAAGTTAAAGCAAAATCCTTTTTAACATTTCTGAGGTCTATTCTCATGTTGATTATAAATGGGAAAAGTGAGAATTAGCTTACTTCTAACCTAGCTGCCTGTTTGGCCCTGCAAAGGATTTTAGAGATCCCCTTCATTCTGTTTATTTTATGGAAGAGGAATTTGAGTCTGGAGGAGTTAAGACATTGACTGGGCAAAGAGGCCCAACCACTCATGTTCAGACCTCCCTGTGAGATGCCATATAAGAATATCAAGAGAAAACCTTTTACCCTCTAGGCTGTTCAACCTTAGAAATTCATAAGAGCCCCCTTAGTAGTCAATTATGAATGATAACAATAAAGATCCATGTTCAAAGTATTGAAAGCACTGTTTCAATAACTTTCTTACAGCATGGGTGTATGACAGACCAGAGACTAAATACGGAGTCCTAATTCTCAAGACAGTCTCAAAGGATATTCAAGATCAAATTTAGAAAATATATTGTCAGAAGCCTGTTCCCCAGAGTCACATTCAAAGATTTTTCTCAGAGAAATTTTCCTAAAGGCATGATTCTAAAGAGATCTAGTACAAGGCAAAGGATTTCGATTTTTTTTCCCCTACTACTTCCTCATCTCCACCCCACAAGTTGACCTGGAGTCATCTTTGGTCCTTTTGAGTTTTAAGTCATCATCTTCCCTCAGGCTCAAGAGGAAGCCTGCTGTATTTTGATGAGACAACTCACCTTTGATGTCACAGTTTTCACTCTTCAAGAACAAGGAGTCATTAGTATCTTGACATCTAACTGTATAAGTTAAAGCACTTCCTGGAAGCTCAAAGGGAAACACTGAACTCTTAACACACAGATTCTGCTGGAAGTAAATGACTCTGCCCTATAAAAGGAGGAGAAAGAAATTCTATTTGAGTAATGCCGTTGAAATATTAAAAGAAATTCAGAGGGAAAAATATCCAAGTGAATAATATATATTGGATCTCTGGCCTCTAATTTGACATTCAGGTCAGATCAAAACTAACCCTGTGAGATTCTGGAATTTAATGTCATATAAAAATGCTACTGGGCAAGGAACTTTATTACACATGATCATAAAAATATATGGGAGGCGCCATCTCTGGGTATTTTTCTATCAAATCTTTACTCATTTTACAGTCTTTACAAACAGAAGCCAGAAGTGCTATATTTGAACATCTACATTTGTTGGGATTTCTTTAAAAAAAATAAAACAAAAAGAAGAATCACATTTTATACGTGTTAAATGGTGTAGTAGTAAACCATGTTTAAAAAAGCTTCAGTTTTCATTGGTGTACAAAGCTGCTACATGTAAATATTGGAACCACTTTTTAAAAGAGGATTGCTGCAGTCAGATTTTTTAAAATAATAAAATAATCACAAAGTTCAACATATGGTGTCTTCATGTGATTATAAGTGTGCGAGTGTGTATACATGTTTTTAATTCCTTAGGATTAGCAGAATGACAAAATGTGTGAAGAAGGATAGATGATGGTTATTTCAAGCAGCACAAGAATTTGAGGAGGAGGTGGAGACTAAGAAGAGAGAGGAAAAAAAGATCAAGCAGGACAAGGGACATGGGTACAAGACTAGAAGAAAAGCTGGATTTCTTTAAACTAGAAAAATCAAAGACATCTGTTCCCCTTATGGCAATAACCACATTTTTCTAGAAATTTACACATTAACATCTAAAAATGGATTTGTGCTAAAAATACAAGCTATGCTCAATGCATGACTCTTGAATGACTTTCCCCTATGATTCCTCTGTAGTCATATGGCAAGGCCATGCCCTCATCTGACATTTTTTTTAGTCAGGAAATACCAACTTCAGTTTTCTTTGATCATGTGATTTCCTTGGCCTGGAAACTCTTCTCTGTCTTTCCCCCTAACCAACTCTTACTCATTCTTCTAGACTAACTCAGCTCTTTAATCACTGAGAAAACCTTCCCTGCCTATCTTTGTCCCTTCCTTAGTTTTACTGAATTTGCCTGCCCTGTACTCTGATAGCACATTGTATTTAAATAAACACTTACGGTCTCTCCCGCTAGGCTGTGAACTTCTTAAGTGAAAAGCCATGTTTTATTGAAATCTATATTTCTGGAACCTAACACAGTGTCCTAGATGCTCGATAAATATGTTTTGGACTAAAATATGCTGCTAGTTTAATGCTCCAGTTCCTGATGAAGCCAGGGCTTTCTTTCCCAGGAGACAGTCAACTCAGGGGGCATGTTTGGTTTAGTACCTGCCAGCGTGTTGTTGACAAACACCATATACTCTCTGTTGCAAAGCCAAAACATGACCTTTTCCACAAATGGAGTAAGCGTTTATTGGGGAATAAAAAAGTATGATGATTGTTTTTAAGTAACGTATAAACCTAAGTGTCTCAATAGAAATTGTGAGAAATATTTATTTACTGCGAGAGAAACATTTTCCTTAAGCTTTCATTGTTTTAGGTAGTCTTCGTTTTCCTGTTCCCCATCCTCCTAGGTTGAATTCCCTGATTCTGGCTGGCATGCTCATAATTTCTATGATCACAGCCCCATTGTCTGTTGGAGCTGAGGGCATTGTAAGTTTTTGTAAGCAGCCTTTGATAAGTTTTAGAGGTGTAGAGAAAGAGCTCTGTCTCCTCCCTGGGAGAATACTCCTTTCCCTACACCTCAGAGGACCAAATCATGTCTTTATTAATATGAAGCATTCATTCCAGTGGCATATTTTATTCATTACAAGAGGATCAGTAGTTTGAGCAATCAGAGATGAATTCTAATATATGGAATCCTTTCCCGCTGAGCTTCCATGAAAGCATTTGATCCTTTTTGGCCTGCCCCCTTTGAGCTGGCTCCTTTATTAATCCTAAAGGACCAAGGTGTAAGAACTCAGGCAGGACAACTGTCTCTTTAGGCAAACCCAGGCTTTGATCCGCTTCCCTGACACAGTGATCTCACCTCCTTTGGCTCAGTCCTCTCCTTCGTCATTGGCCCAGCTATGAGTCTGGAAGTCCCCACAGTGCCTTCTTTGGGTCAATACTATTATCGTGCACCTGCTATTTGCCTGGTGCTGTGCTAGAGACTCAGGATACAGATGTGTAGAGGGAAGAGTGTTTATTCTTGTGACCTTATCATGGAGAGCTTTCAGATGAGATTTATTCCTACCAAATTTATTATTTGAGTGAAACTGAACAGTTCCATTCTGATAAGTAAGGGAAGAACCAGGCATACTATGTTGCTATTCTCCACGATCTGTGTTAAGGTTTCTGTGGATGTGTGTGTGTGTCTACTTAAAGAAATGGCAGTCTATCCCTCTTACATCCTCAGATATTCACAGAGCCCCTCAGTGACATTTTTTGGCCTAGGCTTTTTAACATTCTAGAGTAGAAGAGTTGACTGGTAGGAACATTTCTAAGTGCTCTTTTGCACCATAAAGCAAGAGGAGTGTAGCTGTTAGGGGAACTTGAGAAGTTGGTTAGTGTGTAAGTGATGTGAGAAAATTCTAAGTTTTCCAGTTTAAAAATGGAGACAGGAGGGAAATGGCCCTTTGTTAAGAAAATAATGTTAAGGTATTAAGAAAACAATATTAAGGTATAAAGAAAACCAGAGACATGAAACAGAAGTTGGACTCTGAGAGTCTTGGCGGAGATGGTGGTAGTTTTAGCCTGCATAGGTCTGGGATAGGAGTCACTTGCTGTCCACTGGCATCAGAGGACACAACGGAGTCTTTGATGTGGGTCTGAAATGTTACAACTTCCCACCCCCACTTAAGGATGCTTGGATGGAGAATAAGAGATGTCAGTTGTGTTCTGAAAACCCTAACCTAGATATACCTTCAGCCAAAAGAGAGACATGCTACCATGGTTATCATCCAAAGCCACTCTGTAGAATATAGCCCAAACATCACTGTGTATTAAAACATTTCTCTTTACTGTTTTCACATAAATAGATTAATTTATACAGATTTGTATTTATTTACATATTTGTGTATATGCTGCACTAAATCCTCACTAGTGGGACATTGTTTAGGAATCCTGGTACAGGGTGTAGTACCAACAAGGAAAACCTTCTTATTAAGCTCAGTGTCACTTGATCCATTATATTTAATGCCAGGAAGGGTATATATACAGATTTAGAAATTACCTTATTTCTTTGTCGACTGAGATGGGTAATCTACTCAATAACCATTTAATGACAATGCACAATGTTCCAGGATGCAGAATTGAATAGCCTAGCCTGGGTCGCTCCCCTCTGAGAAGATTACAGTGTAATATGATAATTATTACCATAGTGCTACCCCTGGGGCAGAGGACACTCAGAGAAGGGGTATCTGATTTAGACATGGGGATCACTACAGCTGCCTGGAGGAGAGGAAGCTTAAACTGTGTTGGGAAGTGTGAGTAGGACACAGATTGGTAAGGTGGGGGTGGAGAGGTATTCCAGAAAAAGGGCTGGGCATAGGGAGGCTTGTAGCAATCTACAATATTTGGGAAGCTATGGGTGGGTTAATACTACGGGCATTAAGTATGCTTTGGGAGGGAGTGAATGGGGATAGGATTCAGGGCACAGCTGGGCCAGGTCACGAAGTAAATAAGATCAGAAAGACTTTGAATAGCTCAGTCAGGATGGAGATTCATCTTGAAACTAATAGCTGGAGACCTTGATTGACTTGAGAAGGAAGAGAATCATGTGATCCTATTTACACGTGGAAAGATCATGCTAGCTGTCATTTGGAGGAGGAAGTAGTTAAGGGCAGGGTAGAGATAGGCAGATATCATGAGATAACCTCCATGAAAAAAAAAAGGGTGAGGTGGCACAGGTGAAAGTAAACTTAGGAAAGTAAAGCCAGGATTCTAATGAAAGATGTTATTAATTAAACTTACTGTTTAGGAGGATGATGGAGAAACCCAGGTCCTGGCAAAAACGGTCACACTACTTTAAAGTTTGGGACTAAGAAGGAAATGAATAGGATATCATGAAAGTAGGCTCTGTGATTTTCTTAGTTTGTAGGGAGATGGTAGAACTTAGTGGTTAAGCACTTGAGCTTTGAGCTCTGAAAGATGTGAGTGGATTCCTGGCCTGATCTCATACTAGCTGCATGACCTTGGTTGACCTTCAGCATTCTCATCTGTTGAATGGGGTAATAATAATATATGACTCCAGGAGTTCTTGTGAGAATTTAATCAGAAAGTACATGTTAAATACTTTTTGGCACCTAGTAAGTGTTCAATAAATTACCACTTTGCTTATTTTTATAATTGGTAATTAAAAGCCAGCAAAAGTATGCTTGTAGTGGAAAAGGCACTACAGGCACAAGTACTAATGGGGCTTGGGCTGCCAGGAAAATACCCTGTGATCTCCTTCTGATACCTGGCACACAATTTTCAGGGATCTTGGAAAACGTTTACCTCATATGCAAGTCCATGCATGGTACCAGCAAACAGGGATCCTTGAAGAAGTGAATTCACAGCTGTCTTTACCTTCTACTATGTAACAGAATGTGAGATAGAGAGAAGGAGAGGGAGGAGAGAGGGAGGGAGAGAGAGAGAGAGAGAGGAGAGAGAGAAAGAAAGTGACAAATTAGATTATGGAATGGAAAGTTACATTTGGGAAGGTGAAGAGTTTTGTCAAGTATCTTAGCCTTTCTTAGCCTCATTTTAAAATGATGTTGGACTAAGTCCAGCTGCAAACTGACAGCCCATGCAACTAGCACGTGGAAATATTTTAAAAAGCTGAGCCAACGTTTAAAAATTGGAAATTTGTCAATTGAGGTAGCTTCTTCCATAATAAGTTCATTTTTATTATTTATTCAAAGCTAAATAATTTTATTCAAAAATAGATTTCTGGATTCTGTTGAAAAATCCTAAGATCTGGCCAACCAGGCTCCTGCTCTTCCAAGGGCGTAAGCATTGCTGCCCCTTTTGGGCAAAGAATCAGGTTTCTAGGTCCTCAAGGCTCATCACTTGGGGTGTGTGCTGGTCTCTCATGCCAGGTCCCCTTCTCTTATTTGCAAACTGTCTCTGTTTGATATTAAAATTTGTAATGGGGAAACACTCACTGGTTTCTAAAACCCTATGTAGATTTAAGTAGTTGATGATTCTGTGAAAAAACCAAATACCTTCTAGAGAAAACATACAGGTTGGGCAGAGCCCAGGTATTGATGTCCTTGATGAAACTGGTTTTTGTATTCTGAATGTTGGAGATTGAGAGATCCAAAGCCATTCTCTAAGGTTGACACCAAGGTGCAGGTGAAACCATGGGGGGCAGGTGTGGGGAGAAAGGGAAGGAGTTGAAGGAAGAAATCTACAATTACTCGGAACTCCACATCCACTCAGCTGCTGTAGAATATGAGTTGAGAGGAAATGCAGAGGAGAATCTGCTGCATAGGACCACTGGAATATAGATTGTGTTTTGGAAATGACTGATTTATCAGGTGGAAGCAGAGAATGATAAGCCAGCTCCATGCTGTTCTCTCCTTTGTCATGTTCCCCTGCCCCTGGCCCTTGGCCTTCCTCTCACTTCCCTCCCTGACACCCCAACTCCATGCAGCATTTGCTCCCCCTCCACCCAACTCCTCCTTGCTTTCCTGGCAGGTTCACCAAGAAACAACCGGGCCTCCATGGCAACGTGAAGACAGCTGAAAAATGGCAGCTAAATGCAGCTGCCCCTCATTTAATATCGACTCTGGCACTGACAGAACAGATAATGGGCAATAACACACCATTATGTTGTGGGAAAATGAAATGCTTCAGCAGAAGGCTGTCATGCTGGGGGGATTTATTTGTTACTGTACCAGCACCAGTTTCTATTTACTTCCCTTCCGTTCTTTTTGTTCCCTCATTTCCATGCCAGTTTCTCCCTCCTCCTGGTTTCTCTCCCATTCCTCCCTTCTATAGCTTCTCTTTTTTGTACTTCCTTTCCCTCCTCTTTTTTTTTTTTCCTTCTCTCTGAATCACTTATGGATATACCAGAAAGCATACATATATAATGCAATTATTTGCATGATGACTTACAAGTTCCAAAGCACATTCAAATACATTGCTTTTTCATTTGGAGGGTGAGGCAACCCTATGAAGACAGGTAGGGCCTAGACACTGATGTTTATTTTGCAGATTTTTAAAGGGGCTCAGAGAAGTTGAACCCAAGATCAGGCAAGTAAGTGTCAGCAGCTGCATTGCAAGTCAGATTTTCTAGCCCCTAGACAGGACTCTTTCCTTTCTACGACATGAAAAACTTCAGAGTCACCAATTTCTACCCACTTTACTAGCACCCTATCTTCTTACTGAATAATCTGCAGGTGCAGAGAAAGTCTTCTAGGCTTTGAGACTTCAGAAGGTCTTTAGATCTTTACTTATATTGCCAGTCACTTACAGATTCTTCCAGACAAGTGCCTTTGAATTGTTGATAAGATTGGTTTATTTTTGTTTTCATTTTTACTCTTTAAACCCAAGACGTCTATCTGCTCATTACCTCCTATTGCATCATTATATAATCATGAAATCTTGGTATGCAGAAGGGCGTGGTGTGCTCTTTGACTTGAAAGTGGGGGCATTTTGGTGGCCAACAGCTTTCTGTTTTGCAAAAGACCGTGGTACATTGAGGTCCAGAGGACATCACTGATGGACTTGGCATGAGGAAAACCCTTCTCTAAGTTGTTGCTGTAGTTTAAACTTGCTTTCTTACATCCTGTTGGTTGGATTGTCATAGCACCCTCATCTTCTGTTGAAATATCATTTAGTAGACTCTAAATTCTGGAAAGATCTGAGATCAAGTTTCTTAGTTCTTTGGGTCTTGAAAGGATTACAAATGGAGTGAGAATGGCTATTGCAAACATGTTTTCATTTCTAGTTATGGCTGGTGAGGGAAGAACTAAATGTCAAAAAATATATGTGTACATCTGTAGAAGGTACAGTATGAGTAATGAATATAGTGGTTTTCAATCATATGAAAGAATGATTTATATTGATAAAGAGATCAATGTTTGTACTTCCCAGCAAATATTTTTTAACCTGGGATCTCTGAGCCCCTTGAAAACATGTGCAAAATTTTGTATGGATAAGGCAATGCAGTGCAGTGTTTCAACCCACTGATGTTGAACATACTGACCAGGATTTTGGCTCTGCCACTTGCCAGATTTGTAGCTTTAGAAAAATTACTTACACTCTTCAGGGCTTAGATTTTTGAACTAGTCTGGTACTCAGTTGAGATTTGCTATTCTGTATTGTTTCTTTTCTGTCTGTAATGCTTTGTTCTCATTCCTGCATACTGAAACTCTTCCTGCAGGTTTTTCTCTCTGGCAGCCATCCCCAGTTTTAGCTGTGGAAACTCAAGTAGGCCTCTAACAAAATGTTCTGTGGTGGTGAGAAAGCTAAGGAAAACCAGCTGCTAAAATTACAGCAAGTCTCTGGTTGCTGTTGCTTGGTTTCTTTCCCTGTATAGTTATTTCCCGTGCATGGTTCCTCAAAGTGAAATGAACCTTAGTGTCATATCACATAATCATGGAATGTTAGAACTGGCAGGAACCAGAGATGATTCCATTTCTGTGGTCTGCCAGTTCAAATCCTTGCTGTGTAGAAAGCAAGTCCTTGACCAAAGGCCTGCCTTGCCAATCAGCCTCCTTGCTATTAATATATTGTCCCTCTGACTCCTTTAACTTGTTTAATTGCGCTAAGTTCTTAAGTGGATTTACTGCCATTCCTTATCCAGATCTGAGGCTGTATGATATAAAGATAACTAGTGTTTGTTTAGTATTTATGCCATTTTAGTAGTTATATTTTATTCTTAAAAAGTAAAAGTGACTGGTTCAGGAAATAAGTACTCTCAGGATTGAGACATATTTTTACATGTTTCATTATTTTGATAAATTTTAAAATTAGATTTTGTATTAAGAAGACTGTTCAGAAATTATCCCCATTATCTCATTTTTATTCATTATTCAAAGAAATGTAAGAAAATAATAAGCCCTTTATCTAGCTATTGGAATTTTGGAACTTCCGAGGCAACTGTGAATCTCAAGTTAGCCAGAGAAAAGGGGGCACAGAGTCTTTAAGCAAGAGGAGAAAACTGTCTCACAACCATAGTTTTTTTTTTTTTTTTTTTTTTTTTCCCTTGGAAAGGAATAGAGCTAGCCAGAGGACTTAGGGTCTAGTTTCCATACCAGGTGGGAGGGTTAGAGACAGCAAGTGAAATTGGTGGAGAACTTTGGAAGTTGTCAAATCTTCATTGAGTGAGAAAAATAAAGCCGGGACAGAAGTACCCCAAGGAAGACCACAGAAGGAAATCCTAACAGAACATACATAGCTCAGGAGACCAGAATCTTTTAGGTCAAAAGCAACAACCTCAAGAGAACTTAAGAAAACCAAGTGCATTCTTAAACCAGAAAAGTACACTCAGAAATCACGGAGAACTCAAGCAAAGGACTTTCAGGCACCAACCTCTCTTACAAGCTCTATTATAGCACCAGTGAAATAATTGATATTCATGAAGATCATACAATTTTAGACTCTTTGGGTTGGTTGTAGCTTAGAGATTATCTAGTTCAGGGCTGCTCAAGGTGTTTCCTGCACATCAGTGCCGTCCAAGAGCTGTTTGTTACTAATCCATAAGGATATAAATATGGAAACTGAGAGTAAGCATTTAAGCACTTTTGTAGTAATTCCATGTGTGGGAACACACAGGTGAGGGAGAGTGGACTGGTCTCATTCAAGAGGGTGTCAAACAGTTCAGCATTTTAAAACTTACTTGGTGAGTCATATGTGGCATGAGCTGGTAGTTCTTCACAGTAGGGCATGTATTGATCTGAAAGGATGGAAAAATCTAAAAAACAAAATAAAACAAAATTGGCTGTTTACTAAAAAGATCTTGTGAAGCCCCAATCTAGTGAAAAAGCCTACTTTTACATATGAAAAGATAGATGATTTATCCAAGAAAATATAAAAAGATGATGGCAGAACCCAGAATATGGGATTAATAACATTTTATTAATTAAGCAAATTATGCCCAACATACTCTGCTTCTTAAAATAGGCAAAGCATGCAACACATTGTAGAATTAAAAAAAAAAAAAGACAAACATTTGAGACCTGTGGGCTCTTAAAGGTTGAATCATTCCTCCATGGACTTCACATTTCAAATAAGATTTTGCTATATATACACATACAACTGTATCACCCCACAGAAAACATATTTTGCACTTGAAGTTTGTTGATCTCTTGGGGCATTATTTTGTTTCTGGGAATTCTTAAAGAATATAAGGCTATGCTGGATGGCAATTTTCTGGGTCAATTGTGCCCAAGGCACTCCCTACAGCAAATTAGGTAATGAAACAACTCTTGTGGGCCCTTATGATGCAATTTAGGGCACTATAGTGGTAATAGACTAGCTGGGGGCTCAGCAGCTAGTGGAACTCTAGGGACCTCAAAGCATGACTAAGCCTTCTTCAGTGCCCAGTTTTCTGCCGTGGGATGGTGTTAGGCCCGGGAAGAACAGAGCCTAAATGCACCCCTCTACCCACTTCCACCGGGATCTTGACGAAGGTAGGGATGCTCCTCGTATTTCCATGGTTAGATTAGGCTAATTGTCCCTTACAAGTTGAGGTTTTGAAACAACTGGAAGTGGATAGAATCACAATGGTCATATTACCATGATAATAACAATATCTTACATGTATACCATTGAACTTTTATCTCATTAGGTCCTCACTATAGTCTCACTATAGGCCAAGCAGCTACTTTTAGCTGCTTTGTAATAAGTAAGCCAAATAAAGGCTCAAAGATTGAACAGATTTATTGATTTTACCCCTCAGTTAAAACTAAGATCCAGGGCCGGGCGCGGTGGCTCACGCCTATAATCCCAGCACTTTGGGAGGCCGAGGTGGGTGGATCACGAGTTCAGGAGATCGAAACCATCCTAGCTAACACGGTGAAACCCCATCTCTACTGAAAATACAAAAAAAAAAAAAAAAATTAGTCTGTTGTGGTGGCGGGTGCCTGTAGTCCCAGCTACTTGGGAGGCTGAGGCAGGAGAATGGCGTGAACCCGGGAGGTGGAGCTTGCAGTGAGCTGAGATCGCACCACTGCACTTCAGCCTGGGCGACAGTGTGAGACTCCATCTCAAAAACAACAACAACAACAATAACCAAAAAAACTAAGATCCAGGATGGGTACAGTGGCTCAGGCCTGTGATCCCAGCACTTTGGGAGGCCAAAGTGGGAGGATTGCTTGAGGCCAGGAGTTTAGGACCAGCCTGGACAACATGGTGAGACACAGTCTCTACCCCCAAAAAAAACAAAACAATTAGTTGGATGTGGGCATAGTGGCATATGCCTGTAGTCCTAACTACTCAGGAGACTGAGGTGGGAGACTAAGGCAGGAGGATCACTGGAGACCAGGAGTTTAAGGCTGAAGTAAGCTATGATTAAATCACTATACTCCAGCCTGGGTGACAAAGCAAGATCATCTCCAAACAAAACAAAACAAATCAACAAAACCCTCAGATTCATCCCCATGTCTCCATCTCTACTGTCACTATCCAAGTCCGTGCCGCCATCACTCATCACCTGCATAACTGCAGAAGCCTACCAATAGTCTCCCTGACTCACTCAGCTCCTCCAGTGGATTATTTACATAGCAGCCAGAGTGATCTTTTTAAAGTATAAATCATACCCTGTCTCTCTAAGCTTAAAACCCTTTAATGGTTTCCATTTTTCTTAGGATAAAGTCCAAACTTCTTGGCAAGGTTTGCAAAGCCCAGCAGGTAGCACTTGGCCACCTCTGCAACTTCCTCTTACACTGCTCTCTTGTTACTCTTGGTGCATTTGCCCCATTAGCCTTCAAATTCATCAAGCTCTTTTCTGCTCTCCCTCCCCTCCCAAAGGCTAACTCGTACTCATTTGCAGGTTTCCGTTTAAACCCTGCTTCTTCAAGAGCTTCCTTAATTCTTCATCTAAATTAGCTCCTTCTACTTTCTCTTTCCTCTTATTCCACCCTGATCTTGTCTCCACGGAGTTTTTAGCACGATTCAAAGTTACGTCCATCTGTAGGCTTTTCTTTGTTTGAGGGCCGTCTCCCTCACTACAATGCAAGATTGATGAGGACAAGCCCTATGCAGCTTTGTTCACCAGTGAATATTCACACATAGCTCTCTGCTTCAGAGTTCTCTTGCTATAAATATGTGATAAATAAAAAATGAGGGAATGATAGGCCCAAGAGGGCACAGATGGGCAAGGGTGATGTGAGATAATGCACTCTGCTTCTGAAATAATTCCTAATTACCTTTGGTTTTGTTCTTAAAACACAACTGGAGTTCTTAGAAGAAATATGCAATCTGGCATATAGTAAGGGCTCAATAAATGTTTGAATACATGAATTAATATGTAATGAAAGAATGAATGCCATCGTTACAAATTAGCTGAGTTCTCCATGTGTTTGTAATATTAGGATATTACTGTCCCCAAGTTGCATTATCGACTTCCTGGCTTTCAGTGGGCCCAGTGTCCCCACATGCCTGCTCACCCCCCACTGCACTAACCTAAATAATCTCTGATTATTTTCTTTTTCTCTTGCTACTACCAAATTCTGTTCTGAGTGAGGAAGCAGCTTGGTTAAAAAACAAAAGCCCTGATATGTATATATATTTTTTTTCCTGAAGAATACCATCAGGATGAAGGCTATGATTAATACACATAATTGCTACAAATGGCAGCTAACTGCAGAAAACCACCTCCCAGCTGTTGGAGGAAGGAAATTGCTGACAGCCACTCCCCATTGGGTGGCTACCAAAAGAGAGGAGCTCACAGGAGCAGGAGAGAATACACATCTCCATCCCACGTGACCCATAGAGATGACCCATAGGGCTCTGTCTTACATGTGAGCTTTGCCATAAAATGGTAGTGTTAAGAGTTTTTAGGGCTGGGGTTTACAGCCAGGCTTTCCATGGCTGGGGCTGGTTTTATAGGACATGCTGTCCTGCAGAATGAACATTTAGAATCCCTGTGGCCCAGTTGGTATTACTGCAAAACCCAGGTTGAATCCCTTCAGGAGGAGACAGATGATTCTTGGCTGGTCAGATTTCTTCTCTCATCCTTTCCTTGTTCATTTGCCCTATTCTAATGGGATGGGGAATGCACAAACAAGGAAGAAGCTCTGGGTTGCTTCTTGGAGTCTGCTTTGTGACCTGAGCTCGACCCTTCACTTTCCTGGGCCTCAGTCTCTTCAGTCTATAATGTGAGGTGTTAGACTAGAAGATCACTGTTTCCTTAATTTTAAGCATCTGTGTTACAAAACATACGTACAAAGTATGTGTACATATCATATTAAAATGTATATAAAGTTATATCTATATCTGTCTATCTATCATCTATTCTCTAGTTTCTATTAGCTTGGTGCAAAAGTAATTGCGGTTTTTGCCATTGAAAGTAATGGCAAAAACCGCAATTACTTTTGCACCAACTTTGTATCAATTATCACCTATTTATCTTTCAACGATTATTCATCATCTATCCATCCACCTATCTATCTATTTATCAATCAATCATTCTTATGTATCTCCATACCCCCATCTTCTCTGTCTACTGTTTTACAGTTAGCACCCGAAAAGTTATTTGTACTTGTGTTAGTGTTAACATGTGTCTGGCTTAACTAGTCCCTTGTTCAGGTGCAGGAATTTATCAACATATAAATCAGAAGACAAAAAACTTCAAGCCTAACACACTTAATGCACATAAGCTTCTCCAGGCCACCACTTACAGAGTTGTGCTATACCTTTTTTTTTTTTTTTGATGTGGCAAAAACAAAACAACTCAGCAGCTAAACAGATGAAAAGCCAAGCTGTGGGCTAAGGTATGTATTTGATGAAGCTCTCTCTTCTCTAGATCTTTAGTGGGAAGAGTTTTGCCACTTGACACATATTTACCCCGCAAACCTACACTGGCAATGCTAAGGCAGTGAGCACAGAACACAGGCCTGAAGTGTGCTGGAAGTTAGCTGAAGGGCAATGTCAGCGCACCAGCTTTGAAATTACATGCAGCGCAGTCACCGTCCCTCTGGAAAACTGTGCATTCTGTGAATGCTGACTCTGGAAGTGCACACGCTGAGCATCAGGGCTGGAAAACAGCTGAGAGAGAATGTTCTCCCAGGAGAACAAACCTTAGCGAGCTTCCTCCATGTGTTCTGTACATCTGCATCATCTCATTTCATCTTCAAACAATCCATGAAGTAATGCAGTCTTCTTTATATGGTAGGAAAACTGAGGATCAGAAAAATTAACTGATTTTATTCAAGGATACCCTGTTAGTTGCAGCCACTGGTGGTAACATTTTTTAGTGCTTTGGTGCCAAAAAAGAAAAAAAGAAATTTTTGTGCTCCAAATAAAAGAGGACTTCTGTAGAAATTAAAATAAGGCATTATTAGAACTTTAGGAATTTTGCTTCTTTCTTTGTCCTCTGATTATTCCTGTGACTTTATGTATGACCCCTTAATGCAATGGCTGTGTTCTACCAGTTGATTTGGACATGTACATAGTTGACCTTCAAACCCATTACTGTTGCATCCGAGACTATCCCCTTGAGGAGTTCCATCAGGGAGGGAGGAGCATCGTCTAGAAGTCAGAAGTCTTTGCCTGCTGTTAGTATTCTCCACAGAGCTCCTCCTCTCCCTCAGTTGAGGGTCACAGGATGTTAGAGAAATCAAAAGCCACTGGACATCAGGGAAAGATTGAGGAGCCTGTTACCTGTCACCTTTTCATTTAGACGGCCTTGCTTCTAAAATTATATTCTGAATTTTCCATTTATTCTTGCTGCTATAGACTGAATGTTTTTCCCCCTCCCACACCCACTGTTCATATGTTGAAGCCCTAATCCCCAATGTGATGGTATTTGAGGTAGGTAGGGAGGTAATTAGGTTTAGATGAGGACATGGGGATAGAGCCCCCTTATGGGATAAGAAAATGATTATAAGAAGAGTGCTCGATATGGTTAAGCTTTGTGTCCCACCCGAATCTCATCTTGAATTGAGATTCCCATAATCCCCATAATCCCCATGTGTCAAGGGAGAGACCAGGTGGAGGTAATTGAATCATGGGGGTTGCTCCCTCATACTGCTCTTGTGATAGTGAGTGAGTTCTAATGAGATCTGATGGTTTTATAAGGGGCTCTTGCCCTCTTTGCTTGGCATTTCTCCTTCCTGGCGCCTTGCAAAGAGGGTGCCTTGCTTCCTCTTTGCCTTCCACCATGATTGTAAATTTCCTGAGGTTTCCCAAGCCATGCTGAAATGTGAGTCAATTAAACCTCTTTCCTTTATAAATTACCCAGCCTCAGGTAGTTCTTTACAGCAGTAGAAAAATGGACTAATATAATGCCCTTAGAACAAGAGGAAGAGACAAGAGTCTTCCCTTTTTCTCGGCCATGTGAGGACACAGGAAGAAGATGGCCATCTACAAATCAGAAAGAGGGCACTCACCAGGCACCGAATCTGCCAGCACTTTGATCTTGGACTTCCTAGCCTCCAGAACTGTGCAAAATAAATGTTGGCTGCTTAAGTCACCCAGTCTATGGTATTTTGTTACAGCAGCCCAAACTGGCTAAGATACTGTCTTGTAGGTGAAACAGGGCTAGGAGTTATTTTACAGGCATAAAGTTACCTGTTTTTACACTCTTGAGAATCAATTAGTGGGTTGGTATACTAATGGTAGGGTCTAAAAAAAGAAGAAAAACACCAAATGCATTTGAAGCGATTCCAACTTTGGGACACTTTTTATTATTTCAGACAAATGCAGATAGAATGTTTACTGAGGTGTCTCCCTGGCCCTTTATGTAATATTTGGATAGCGCAATCCTTAGCTGCATGCAGATAATGTGTTAGGCAGCTAGAAAAATAACCTGCTTGTACTGTTTCTGATTTATTCCCCCTCCTCCCTCACGTCTTTGTTCACAGTAAACACATCACTGCAGAGTAGCTAGCAAATGAATGCCTTTTTATCAGAGGTACATGCCCAGTTGGTGGCTACGACCACATAGAACAGCAGATATGGCCAAAGGGGGAATCACTGACAAAACAGGCAGACCCTCACCCAGAGTGGATGGTGTTTCTTGGCATCTGAGAATCAGAATATAGAGGAAGATGAAAGCACTGTCGTGTTTACGGTGCTGGAAATTATATTGAAACTCAAGTAAAATAATGATGCTGCTGCTGCTGATGATGATTTGTTGAGTGTTTACTATAGGCTCTGATCTGGCATGCTTTCCATGTATAATTTCATTTATACTTTACTACAACCTCAGGTGAGAGCTACAGTTATTATATTATTATACCTATTTTATAGGTGAGGAAACCGAGACATAGAGAGTTTAAATAACTTGCCCAGTGTCACATAGGTTAAGAACCAGGATCAAGATAAGAGCTTTCCTCAACTACCCAGGAAGGACCAAACAAGTTAAGAGTCTCCAGAATTTGAGAGGAGGAATTATGATTCTGGAAGTTCCAATCTTTCTCTCCAGCTTCAGAAGGATCAACCAATATTTTAAAGGAATGTTTAATCCTTGTGGTATGAGCTGTTGGGGTAAGAAAGAATATGGGCTGGGGTGAAGATTGAATATGAGCCAAGTTCAGTCTCATTACAGGACTAGGAAGACAGAGAAATACCAAGATCTAGAGCATTGAGGGATATTTTGATGAAGCTCTGTTGGCTCTTGCATGGTCCACATGAATGCAAAGCATTCATTTTTTTTCTAGATGAGAGGCACAAAGAAATAAGACAGCATTTTTCTTTTTTCAGTAAAATCCCTTTAGTTTTGACTGCACTAATTCTGTATTTTCCTAATTTAGTCATGTTAAGCTAAAATTTACCTTTATACCATGTAGGTTGAGAGGAGGATTTATAAAACAAAAAGAGAAAGTGGTCAGCCTATTCTATCGGATCAAATCAGTAAATTACTACCAATCTTCACTACTTCAGGACAATTATTTTATTCAAATAACAAATACACTAATTACAAATGAATGTCCATTTTTAAATCACTTGCAAGAGTCCCACACACATTTAACAGAGTGGTTTTCTTTTCTTTACCTTATGTTCTTGGAGATAATAAATCAACATTTCCCTCAGAAAGCATTTGTTAATTTTTTATTCAATCATACCAATCTTTTGCCCAATTAGGAGGCATTAGTGTAATTTTTTCCCATTAAATTGTACATAAGTACTGTCGTCCTTGTTTGAATAATTAACTTTCACCTAGATGCCCTATGTGTTTCGGTTGATGTATTTGCTCACTTGCATCTGCGGTTTGCTGTAGCTTTGAAACTACTGACACTTTCAAGCAAGATGGACTAATGTCTCTGAAATGAAGCTGGACATTTGGATTTGTGACAGTGAGCTTGACACTTATTACCTTACTAATAGGTAGTAAGCATATACCAAAATGATTTACATAGAGGGTATTAGTACCTATTAGTACCTTACTACCTATTAGTAAGGTAATATGTGTCAAAGATTTACATAGAGGGTATATGCTTACTACCTGTTAGTGCTAAGACATTGGTTCTGTCAGATGAGGATTTTCTGATTGGCAACTAAGGAAGTTATGTTCATAATTTAAAGTGAAGGGGTGGGATGGGATAGAGCTGGATCAATGCCCCATGGTACTACAGAGTGAGTGATAACTTGGAGAATATTGTCCCCCTGCTCCCCACCCAGCTGCCAGTTTGACTAGCCTTTCAAATAGCATTCACTTGTCCTCAATTCTCACCCAAGACAAAACACCCATGACTTGGAACAATAAAGCAAACATATTTCCAAAATGGCCATGGCAGAACAGTGAAAAGGTACTTTGGTATATCTCATGCCACATTTCACAGATCTTCTGTTCTGTGATGGTTTATGGAAGTGAAGTACTTTATTATGTAAAATTCATCCTGTTTTTTGTTTGTTTGTTTGTTTGTTTTGTTTTGTGATACTACAGATCCATTTCACTATAGCCAAAGGACATGCGTTTGGGGTCTGGGGATCCATCAGAGGATTCTTCTCTCTTCTTCTGGTCCCACAAAGCAATCGTGAGCTTTAGAAAGGAATCCTAGGAAAAGTGAATAGTCTTCCACTGACATCTGCTCTTTCTTATAGCTTACAATGAATACTGCCTCTTAAAGTGTCTTCTTAAAGTGGCACAAAGAGAGCACCTCTGTGAGTGCAGGGTGATTGGGCACGCAGTAGGAGAAGCACTCAGGGTTAGCAAGTGATTTTCCTGACACAAAACCATTTGTTGGCAAGATCTGTGGGAGAAACATTCTGGATTTTGTATTTCTTGACCTTTCCGTGCTTTCATTTGGTAAACTTTGCAAAGCAGAAGCTTTATCTTAAAAGTTGTTGTGGTTTTGTATTAAGCTCTTTTGAAGTAACTGATATGACTTATTTTGCTTTAAGACTTAAAGTGCAATTTTTAATAAGCTGGTACCATTTATTAATTACTTACTAATGATCCCAGCACAGTGCTTTCTGTATATTATGTCTCTTCGTCTCTACAAAAAACCCCAGGACTTATAAATTATTATTTTTCTCTAATTTGCGGATGGCTAAACTGAAGCTTAAAGAGATTAAGTAATTTGCTGAAAATCACATGACTTCTAAGGAAGGTTGAGATTCTTTCTGACTCCAAAGCCTGAGCATTATTTCATCACTGCCTTCCTTTATACATTATGTATGTTAATTCAATGTTTTCCTCCCTCTCAGGCTACAGAACTCAGATTTCATGAGAGTTTAGAGTTCTAGTCTCCAGAGTTTTTCAGTAACCCTTCTCTCTTTTCAGTAGAAAGGGAGAGTTGTTTTAAAAATGGATAACTACTTAAGAAAGGCCTTTGACAATCTCTAACGTGTGAAAAATTCTTTTTGGCCACTGGCTTCTGATGACTCAAATTGTCAGTTGACTTGTTTGCTAACATGTTTTAGCTTCCATCACTCCCTTCCACAGATGGCATGAAGAATTGGCCATAGTAGATAACCATGCTACAGTAGATGCCATTCATTTATTGCCATTCATTTATAGCAAATAGCCATTCTATAGCAGATGCCATTCATTTATTTTATTTTATTTTTATTTTTTGAGACAGAGCCTCACTCAGTTGCCCAGGCTGGAGTGCAGTGGCGTGATCTCGGCTTACTGCAACCTCCGCCTCCCAGGTTCAAGCTATTCTCCTGCCTCAGCCTCCCAAGTAGCTGGTATTTATAGGCACACACCACCACGCCTGGCTAATTTTTGTATGTTTAGTAGAGACGGGGTTTCACCATGTTGGTCAGGCTGGTCTAAAACTCCTGACCTCAGGTGATCCGCCCACCTTGGCCTCCCAAAATGTTGGGATTACAGTCATGCGTGAGCCATGGCACCCGGGCTGATGCCATTCATTTAGAGTAGTCATTCTTTCATAGTAGACAGCCATTCTGTAGTAGATACCATTTTCTATAGTAGCACTACCCCTTACCATCCGACTAGAAGAAGAATAAGTAAGTGATTAGAAATAAGGCTCCTGGTTATAGGGTTTGTTACCCAATGAACATGATGACTTGATTAGCGTGCCCTTTCAGCCCAATGTAGGATTTTCTATGGACTATGATTGAGAGCAGACACCTACAGATTTGTTTGCTTTACATATATAGCTGAATAGTCAAAATGCTATATCCACCTCAAATGGAGTCAGGATAAGCATTATGAAAAGTCAGAATTGGCAGTTGCTAGGTGATGTAATTTGAGGGACTTCATGGAGCATACCCTCCAAAAAACTCTTACTGATGCCTGAAATTTCACAGTTATGTCTTGATTACATTGGATTGAGCAACAGCCCCTCCTTTAAAAAATGCAAATTCTTCTCACACAGGGAGGTAGCTATTATGCCCCTGACACACTGGGTGCTTATTAAGCACTCGAAGCAGAACAGAGGATGTGGATGGATGAGGAGATGGAAAAAGTTGTGCAGTGAACAGTTTCCCTGAGAGCTGGCATGGCAAGAGGGGGGCGGTATGCCCACTGCACAGGGGCGGGGCCAGGTGCTGGATCCTGCACAGTGGGAACATGCTCCCCTCTGCCATCTTTTGTTGGGAAGAGGCTCACACAGCCTTTCCAGAAGAGAATTGCAGGACCAAGCAAGGTGAACTGGGAAAGAGAAGGATCTGGAAGTCTAGGATGGCAAGATAGATTGGAGAGCAATACACAGACAACCTGGGGAAGAGACCTCGCCTGGGTCTGAGGTGATGGGGTGGGAGCCCTGGCTCTGCATCTGGCTAGCTTTGTAACCCAGTCCCACGTCTACTGACCCCTTGACTTCCTGTTCCTTTGTGTGTGTGTGTGTGTGTGTGTTTGTTTGTTTGTTTGTTTGTTTGTTTTGAGAAGGAGTCTCGCTGTGTCACCCAGGCTGGAGTGCAGTGGTGCGATCTTGGTTCACTGCAACCTCCGCCTCCCAGGTTCAAGCGATTCTCTTGCCTCAGCCTCCTGAGTAGCTGGGACTACAGGCGTGTGCCACCATGCCCGGCTAATTTTTGTATTTTTAGTAGAGACGGGGTTTCACCTTATTGGTCAGGCTGGTCTTGAACTCCTGACCTCAAGATCCACCCGCCTTGGCCTCCCAAAGTGTTGGGATTACAGGCGTGAGCCACCGCACCTGGTCCCTGTTCCTTATCTTTAAAATGAGGGCATTTGACTAGGGACATCTCCAAGTTTCCTTCTAGTTATGAAGAATACATTTTTTTAAAATTGTACTGGAATCTTATGAGAAACACGAGGGATTATTCTTTTTGCTTTTAAGATTTATCCATGATAGAGTATAAGATAAGCCATGGGACTTGCTTCTCTCCCAACTCACCATACCCAAAAGATATTAATCTTGGTAAGATCCCACAACCAACACTATGCTTTTGCAAGAGCATCCAAAGTTGTGATTTTGGGTTTTGTTTTGATTTCTTTTGTTGGTTTTTTAATTTAGCTTGTGACTAATAGAAAACCAGAAATACTAATCTCTTACATCAAAGGAAGGTTACTGGCAACCTCCTTGTACTCTCCAGGGAGGCATGGTTCTCTTGGACTTAGCCTGGGTTGTCTGCATCTGGGAAGGACTTGGACAGGAAAGAGCTAGGCATAGGAGCTGAAAGGGAACCTTCTTATCTTCAGACTGGGAGGACACAGGTTATATCCTCCATCAGAGGTGTAGAAGAAATGATGCTCAACAATCAGTCACATCCTCAGAACTTCCCCAGGCTTGCATCCCTGGAAAGCTGAAGTAGTCTTTGGGGCTTCAGAGAAGGCATCAATTGATGGATCTCAGTCCATGTGTGTGTGAGGCTCAAGGTTACCTGGCAAGGCAGTACAGGGCAGTAGTAAAGAGTGAGTAAAGGATTTGGGGTCAGCAAAACCTGGTTTTGATCCTCGATGCTACCTCTTTCAATGGACAGGTTACCAAGCCTCAACTCCCATGTCTGTAGAAGAGACTGTCACAACACTTGTCTCTGAGTTGTGACGGCTCCACACAATAGTCCAGGCAAGGAGGTAAGCCTGGTGCTCAGCATTGACCAGCCATCTAGAATTGGTCATTGCCATTATTATTAAACAGTGCAGCCCTATGGCCAGTGAAAAACAACTTTTAAGGCAGCAAGGCACTTGCAGCATCCAATCTGGGGAACCACTCAGAACCCCGGAAAGGTACTCCAGCAACACCTGACCCTTCTCAGATTCACTTCCCTTTACATAGCTTGTTACGTGGTGAGCTTTAACTACAGTGCGCAGCTCTCATCTCTTCAAGGGTGGGAGGATTGCACTGCAAATATGTCTAAAAAGGCACCTGTGTCAATATAGTTTGTGTCATATTCAACAGGGAGAGCAAAATGAAATGCATCTTTCACAGATCTGTAGAAAACAATCATCATGGGTGCTTCCTAAACTCCATCCAGAGAGTTAAAGGCATCAATCGTTATTATTTTTTCCCTTCAAAATACATATAAAGAATTTAAAAATACATATAATTTTTGACTTCAGGAATGTATGTTTGTTTACAAGTAATTTTATTGCAAAATATCAAGAATGTTCTGACCTCTATGTGAATGGATGTACATATATCTCCCCAAAGTGGTCTATGTCAATGTCAGATAAAAAGTCATTCATGTATTTCAGATGAGATGGAAGAGGAAAGCAATTTGCCAAGTAGTGATGACATAAAGGAATGTGCTTATAGGGTCTTCAGAGGGCTATCCCTGCCTGGAGGGTTTTTGAGGGTAGGTAGGAGGCCAGGTGGTTGGCTCCTCTGTTATTGAAAAAAGGAGATTGTCTTTCAGAGAGCACTGAGGCCTAGAGCACTCTTATCACTTGGAATGCCCGTCAGGGCTCACAGAGAGTGGAGAAGCATTTTATATATCACAAGCCATTGCATGCCATAACTTCTCCTTCTTTTCTTGTCCTCTTTATTTTCCCCTACCAGCATGGCTCTCAGATTTATTAACAGCCCTTTCATGCCTTCTACAGCCATCAGGAAGAGAAATAAAGAGGTCTGGGAGAATCCAATCTTCTTTAGCTTGTCCTTTTTCACTCTCTTAGCTTTTTTGTTTGTTTGTTTCTCTTTCCCTCCCTTCCTCCCTCCCTCCCTTCTCTCTCTCTCTCTCTCTCTCTCTCTCTCTCTCTCTCTCATTTTTATTAGACTGCTCTGCATCAGGCTAGAGTTTCTTTTTCAATTTCCCTCTTCTTTCACTGTTTTTAATTGTTTCAGTGCCTTTGTTTTTCCCTAGACTTGAGCACAGTGGGAAAGGTCAGCTGTCAGAAGAGGGGCTGTACACAGCTGATAAGGCCTTCAGGAGACTGGATTGGAGTCATTTAGGCAGCATTCTCTCCCTGAAGTCATAGAGGCTACACTGTTGCAGTGGAAAGAAAAAAAGAGCTCAATGAGTAGAAAAGGCAACTTACATGAAATGAGCAGCTTGGCTATGTGAGCACTAAGCAGTGCATTACTTACCCAGAGCCCTTTTCCAGAGGCAGGTGCTGCCCAGTGCCAGCTCCAGTGACTCTGGGACGTTGATGGAAATGTGAATCTGGATGAGGCACACATGCAGGAGGCTTGGAGTAAGGACTCAACTGGGAATTAGGAATCTAACATCCTGGAAATCAAAGTTGTCCCCTGTTAATATATCTGCTTCATGGTTATTTTACAACTAATGAACTTATATAAAAATCAGAAAGCCTAGGTTCTGGTCTTGGGTATATTGCTAATTACTTTGGGAAAGCATGAAACTATACTAGCCTTGTAAAAAGAAGTAGAAAATGTGTGGTTTTTAAAGCACTTTTCATAGATAATATCTAGAATTCATCTTCCTGATATCATTTGCAAAGTAGAAGTGAGGAGCATACCCCTTCTTGGACATGGCTATGAAAACCAGTTAATTCCTTTTTATGTAAGTACCTTGAGGTAAACCCAAAGTCAAAGCCCTTGGAACTCATCCAAATAGCCTATGCAAAAATTCATGATGGAGTGCTGCAGAGCTTTTAAAGAAATGGTGGTCATCTTCTGGAATGGGAAAAAGAATAGTTGATATGGATAATACCATAGCATTGCAGAGTTCTTTTTTTTTTTTTTTTTAAGAGACCAAATCTTACGCTGTCACTCAGGCTGGAGTGCAGTAGTGTGATCATGACTCACTGCAGCCTCGAACTCCTGGGCTCAAACAACACTCCTGCCTCAGCCTCCCAAGTAGCTGGGACTATAGACACATGCCACCGTGCCCAGATAATCTTTTTATTTTTTGTAGAGATAGGGTCTCTTTGTTGCCCAGGCTGGTCTGGAACTCCTGGCTTCAAGTGATCCTTCTGAGTCACCAGGATTTCAGGCATAAGCCAATATGGCTCAGCAAATTCTTCATGTTTTCAAAACAATTTTTTTATACTTCACAATAACCTGATTTAAGGATACTTCCTACCATAATGTACCTGAAAAATATGACATGCTAAAATGTGACAGAACTCCTGTTTTCACTGTCAACCTGGCACATGACAAGTGTTCTCAATAAAGGTTTGCTGAATGAATGAATAAAATTATTGAGTGAGTGGGTAACTTAAAGCCTTCAAGTAACACACAGTTAACTATGTTTATTTGGCTCTCCCTGGCCAACCCCAGTAATGGTTGGGTACAAAGAGGAATTGGGGTAGATAATGTTGGCCATAAAGGATATGTAATCTGGTTATATTGGTAGTTCTGCTGTCTTGCCATAGAAAAGGGAGCCAAAGGGTTTTAACTAGAGCTCTGTCACCTTGGGAGAACCCTCGGGAAAGAACCACTGTCCAGGCTAGCAGCCACAGAAGCCCTAGAAGATCACACAGTGAATTGCTTAGCTTCTGCTCTCACTGCAGTGCCTTTTACCCAAAACAAACTCTTGTTTTGGTAGGAGAAACAAGAAGGTTGGAGTTATACCCAATTCTAGCTTCATTCTAAATTCCCTTGTCAATTATTATTCTAATTGGATGACCCTGGACCCCTAAATCTCAGCTCCCCTCCTTGAAAACTGTCAATAATAATACCTAAATAGGTTGTTGTGAAGATTCTATGAAACATTAATACAAAGCCAGAGCTAAAGCCCTGATACACAATAAGCTTCAAAAATGGTAGCTGGCATCATCACTATCATCACCCCCATTTCAAGGGCTCTGGGAGTTTCCTGGTATGAAACAGTGATAATGATGCTTACTGTTTAAGGTTATAGAATTGAGGAGACTATTTGTAAAGGGCCTCTTGCGATGACAGGCACGTAATAGAGAAAAAATAAGTATTGGCTCCTTTCTCTCTCCTTTCTTCTATGATGTCTTCTTACTTTTCTACTTTAGCCGAGGTAGTGGTACATCATTACTCTTTCATAAAGTGACACAATGTCATTGAGGAATGCTCAAAAGGCCCCAGCAGATGGATGCTCATAGCTGGTTGAAGCAGAGTTAGGAGGGTAGCATGGAGGGGAAGGAGGAATGAGCAGCACTCGGGAATGCAAGACAGATCTTTTCTGCCAAACCTGGATGCACTGGAGGCTGCCATCCTAAAGCTTTTGTGAAGTTTCTGCCTGTTTCTGGAGTTATCCATGTAATCCTTGAGAGAACACTTCTGTTTGCACAAATCATTCCATACAACGTAATTAGCTACTTATAATACAGAGGACACTTGTGATCCCAAATTCAAACAATTGCAAAAGCAAAAGCAGTTTATTCATGGTGGTGTACAATGATAATTGATAATGAGCTAGATGACTGTGAGGTGCTATGGAATCTCAAAGACTCTTCTGAATTCTCAAAGGGAGTTCACCTTATTCATAGGATGACTTTAGGTTAGCAGAAAATAATGACTTTAAAAAGTATTATACCATAACAATGAATACATTACTTATATTGTTCATGTAATTACTAGTTCTTCAAAAACCAAAATGCCAAATTTACAATGATTAGAAATTAATAGCTAACAAAAACATCACACTAACTCGATGCCCTTTATTTGCCAATGATTCTAGCTAATGGAGAGTTTTTACTTGATGTGCTTTATTTTTTACCTTCTGACATCTGATCCATGTAGAATGACCAGCCTTCCTGGTTTTCTAGGAACCAGCTATTTTAGCACTAAAAGTCCTAGTGAACTTCTCATTTCTAGGCAAATTGGGATGGCTGGTTATTCTACTTGAAGCACCTGGTGGACCTCTTTTCAGGACAGCACCATGTTTAGACTAACATCTGACTGACAACTCAAAACGAAAAGAATCTCTGGTTCCAGATTATTTATAACTTTTGGATCTTGTTGATGAAGAAAATTTTTATGAAAAAAGAAAATAGAGTTGACTACTTTTCTATTTATTTAAATAATAACATTAACAAATTTTGTCTATCCTTGCCATCATTTTATAAGACAGGAAATTACAAAACCAAAAAAGTAGAAAGGAGTAGAATGTAAATTTTACAAGGGTTCCAGAGTGATGTGTTTATCACTATGTTCCCAGTGCCTAGCAGTGTGTGGTGTGGCATAGATCCTACATAAATATTTGTTGAATAAATGCACAGTGCATAAATTTAGCTTTTACTACAAATGTACTACACTCTTCTTATTTTTCTTTCTTTCTTTCTTTTTTTTTTTTTTTTGTTGTTTTTGAGACGGAGTCTCATTCTGTCACCCAGGCTGGAGTGCAGTGGCGCGATCTTGGCTCACGGCAAGCTCCGCCTCCTGGGTTCACGCCATTCTCCTGCCTCATCTTCCAGAGTAGCTGGGACTGCAGGTGCCTGCCACAACACCCAGCTACTTTTTCTGTATTTTTAGTAGAGACGGGGTTTCACCGTGTTAGCCAGGATGGTCTCGATCTCCTGACCTCGTGGTCCGCCCACCTCGGCCTCCCAAAGTGCTGGGATTACAGACGTGAGCCGCTGCACCCGGCCATTTTTCTAAATGTATTATAGATTGATGAAAACTTTCCCTTAGACCATTGCTTGGGGATCAATAGTTGAAATCTAAGTCTGTGGACTGTAGAGTTTTTTGATAGTAAGTTTTTATTGTAAATTATTTTAATGGCATTCTGTTGTTTATCCTAGTCTCATGTTCATTATAGTTGGTGTGGTCAACCTCCCATGAGATAATCATTCAGATAAGACCAAGTTTCCGGGCCTGTAAATCAGAGAATCAGGTTCATTTAACATCCTCTTAGATCTCAACTTCTATCAGTAGCAAGATACATCTTTGCAGATACCTACATGGAGATTTCACTACATCTGGCAGGGATGAGCCACCGGTCCTCATTTTCTTAATTCCTGGACAAGGTTTTTGTGTATTCTAACCAAGTATTCTTGCTTTTCTTTGTTCTGATTCATTCATCTACAAAGTGTGGTCAGAAACCTTGACCAACTGCTGATATGTACAAATATCACAACTTCTCTAAGTCTGGGATCTCCTACCACAGTTGAGATATCCAAATCATTCACAGTTTTGTCATAACTCGTGGATTAAAAAAATCATTGATAAATCATATCCGGTATTTCTGAAGAGGTTTAGAATTTTGGTTTCATGGATAGCATAGGAAATGTAAATTATCCATCACAAATGTCTTTACAAGTTACAAAACTAAACCAATTTGAGTGTTCATTTCAGAGAGGCTTAATACTCTCAGTTTTGTTGTTTCTTTTAATCACAAATCAACTAACCATTTCCCTTTCTGCAGCTACCTTGCACAATCCCTGAGCATATTTCTGACCTTAGCCCTCTGGTGTCATAGCTCTGATTCTAGCTGTTTGGCTTTGGATGGGGTTGTTGGGGTGTTGCAGCATCTGTAAATGGTTAAAGGAGCATTAGACTCAATGTATCAGGCTCATGCCTGTAATCCCAGCACTTTGGAGGCTGAGGCGGCAGGATCAGGAGGATCAGGAGGATCAGGTCAGGAGATCAAGACCATCCTGGCTAATTTGGTGAAACCCCGTCTCTGCTAAAAAAAAAAAATACAAAAAATTAGCCGGGCGTGGTGGCGGCTGCCTGTAGTCCCACCTTCTCAGGCGGCTGAGGCAGGAGAATGGTGTGAACCCAGGAGGCGGAGCTTGCAGTGAGCCGAGATCGCGCCACTGCACTCCAGCCTGGGCGACAGAGCGAGACTCCGTCTCAAAAAAAAAAAAAAAAAAAGTGGATTTCCTTATTTATGCTCTCATAATTAAGATAATTTTAGCATTTATATCGTGTAGTGAATATACACAATTCCCATGATTTTTTTCCTATTGTTTTATGATCCGTATTTATATCCCAAAGTATATGGTTAATACCTCTAAGTTTTTGCTGAAAATCTAGCCTTGTTGAGCAGATACAGGTTCCTTTAGCAGCTGGTGAAGGGTGCTTATACTTTAAAAAATCAGATAATGTATGTGAAAGTGGTTTGGAATATGTGACATGCTATGCAAACGTGTATTTTTTTTTTTAAAGAAATGAATAGCTCGTCTCCCACAGGCATATTATTGACAGGGGTCTTTGCAAAAGATACACAAACCTAAATAGGAAGCAGCATGATCTAATGGAAAGCATATAGTCTTTGGAGGTTAACATTGGCTTGTATTTTGGATCTGCTTTCAACTGGAAATATTAGAAGGATTTAGTCCCTTCTGAGCCTTAGTTTTATCATTTGAAAAATGGGCTAGTAAAACTTTATTTCACAGGGCTTTTGTGAGGGATAAATAAGAAATATACAAAGTATCCTAATAAAAAGTTCTCATTTCAGATGAAATATGAGCATGTAGATATGCTATCTCTATTAATAATTCATTTGTTCTGTGTTGTTTTGAACTCTTGTAACTTTAAATCACTAAAACAGGTTAATTCTTGTCAAATGCTATTTACATCGTGTTTGTTTCATTGAAGCATAATACAGGTTCAATAAATGTTAATTTCCTGTTCTTTGTATGCTATAGCAAAAATAAAAAATCTTCTGATGCTTAAAAAGACTGGTAATAGTCGGCTGGGCGTAGTGGCTCACGCATGTAATCCCAGCACTTTGGGAGGCCGAGACGGGCAGATCATGAGGTCAGGAGATTGAGACCATCCTGGCTAACACGGTGAAACCCCATCTCTACTAAAAATATAAAAAAATAAAAAATTAAAAAAAAAATTAGCCTGGTGTGGTGGCGGGTGCCTGTAGTCCTAGCTACTCGGGAGGCTGAGGCAGGAGAATGGCATGAACCCGGGAGGCAGAGCTTGCAGTGAGCCAAGATCGCGCCACTGCACTCAGCCTGGGCTACAGAGCGAGACTCTGTCAAAAAAAAAAAAAAAAAGAGACTGGTAATAGCCTGAGATGAAGAAATGACAAAAATGAAATAAATACTTTCTTCTAGTTTTATGCACCATATTAGTACTATAATTGAATATGCAATCACTAAAGATTTTCTTCTTTATTTAGGTTTCTTGAATCAGGTCACCGATTTTTAAGTCTGCATCCATTTTAGAGAACTCTCCCTCCCCACTCCCCTTCAACATATCCCATCCTCTTTCACCTATCCATTCAGATTCTTTCATTTAATTATTTCAGACCCTGGGAATTAGCAGTCCCTTCTTGAAAGCATTGGAATGGGGCAGTTTTAATTTTTATTAGTATCAGCTTTCTCCTCCTCACTGCCATATTTACTTCTTTGGGAGGAAAAGGAAGTGCATATGTAGCTATAAAAGAAGACATAGCCCAGGTTTCTAGGATTTGCACCTCCGCATTGGCAAATTTTCCCAGTCTGTGTCTCCAAACAGGGTTTTAATCACCTGGGCTCTTGTCCTTGGCATTGAAAGCTTTAAGAGTACTGCAGAAATGGTAAATTAACCACATTTAACAAAATAGAAAGTTTTCATTGTGTCATAAAAAGCCCTATTGATCTTGTTCAGGCATTGACTCCAGGTCCTTTTAACAAGCCACTCTGTCTAGACTTGCAGGCTAGAGCCCACAGTGCTAACAAAGGAGGAGCTGGGCTGCCCTCCCTCCCCCTGCAGGGGAAGGCTAAGAGGATGGGCACAGATTCAGGCTTCTCAATGGGGATTTTCTTAAAGAACTAGCATGATTTTATTCTGCTGTGGAAAGGAAAAGCATTAGGAGACTTGTGGCAGATGTACCTGTCACTTACTCCAGACTCCAGCCTTGTTTGACTCTCTGTGTCTGCTGTGGAACTACCCCATCATAACAGATTAACGTGTCTTCCATATCCCTCAGCTTCCAGCAACATTTCCTCCTGTTGCCCTTAGGAAGGTAGGCTGAACTCTGATGCCAACGCACGGAGCAGTGGGTCTCCAGAAAGAGCGTGGAAAGCAACGATGGGGCAGGAGGAGGAATTGGCAACTTTAGAATCACTGTGACCAACTCAACTTCATTTCAATTCAATTCCACAGGTCTTTACTTAACAAATTCTGGGTAAACAGGAGATTTTGAAAAGGCAAGAAAAATTGCTGCTCACAGCGTATGGTTAAAAAGTTGACATCCATAAATCAAATAACCAAAGAATCATTCAAGATTTATTGGGCGGTTAGACGTTTTATTGGCAGCAGAGATTTAACTTTTCAAAAAATGATGAAGTATTTCAAACATAAAACATGTAGAACCTATAGTAGAGGATATTGCAAACATTGCTTTACCCATCACTCAGATTGAACAAATCTTAATGTTTTGCCATTTTTGCTTTATATCTTTTTGTAAAGACTTAGTCATGTTCGAATACCTTCCTGGTTCCATTTATTCTCTTCCTCCTCCAAAGTAACCACTACCTGAAGTTGATGGGGAGATTTTCTGTATACATATTTCTTATTCTTGTTACATACAAATAGAGCTGTAGTATCAAATAATTAGTGATCACTATATAGCTATGTGTATGTATGTGTATATATATATAAATTAGTGGGGGTCAATTTTATCAGCCCCTCATCATTTATATTCATTATTCTCTATATATTCTGGGCTGAAGGAAGGACATGTTAAGTAAAATTCTTTAATACCTTATACTTCCCTGTTCATCACCCAAGCAAAACTTGGTACCACCTCTAGATCCCACTTTCCTGTTTTAGGATCAGAAAGCATTTGGCTCCTAAAATATCTGTAGGAAGTTTCACATAATATCTGATTGTCTTGTTTTCTCTAGATACTTAAAGGTGGGGAGTTTTACCAAAAATATAATCTAATTGCAGATTTATTAAGGCAGGAAGTAGATTACATTGTCTTCTAAGATTTCTTCTGATACTATGGTGATAATTGTTACAGAGAATTCTTTACTTGTTTTCATCTTGGGCTAAAGAGATATTTGATAGAAATAAACATTTTAAAGTTCATATGGTAAAAAATTCATACTTATTGCTTTGAAATATCTAAATATCTGTATGAGTTTTCCCAAATTCTGTAAACCTTCATGACTTCTATATTATTTTCTAAACATGTATGTGTGAATATAGTGAGTATCTAATTTTGGTAGCAATTAGTGTTGATATGTGTGCTACTGTATATAAAAAACATTTCAGATGCTCTACTTTGGGCTCTAGATTCATTGTGGATATTTTTCATTATTATTAATTTTGTTTGTATGAAAATTATACAAAAATATACAGTGTTACTAGGGACACAGACCTCTCCTCTCCAGCTCTGTGTCCCTCCTAACATTTTTGTCCTTATGAAGTCCACAGAATGTAGTGTGACAGCATGGCATTTGCTATTCCAGTATAATCGCCTTAGTTATTGAGTACTTTTGATGATTCTTTTTGGTCTTGGCCAAGGGTGAAAGGATATGTAAGTTTGTGAGTATGTATATATTGTACAATTTTTTTTGTTCAAAAACTTCAAAATTCTATGTGAAACTTATTTATAGGAAGTCAATTCTGGTTAAGTTCTCCACCATCCTAATTACTTATATACTCTGTGTAACTTCAGGAAATGTATTTTTAGGAAACACTGTAGGCTAGAGCTGGCTTTGACATTATTGATATATTTTCTTGTCATTGAACTCATGTGGCTCCAGATGTGCCTATTATCCCTCCAGTCACAGTGAAAGCAACCCAAGGACCAGTTTGATATCCTGAATTTCTCCTGATACTTTTATTTTGGTGCCTATTTCAATATTTGTTGAGCGCTGAGGTGACAACCATAACATTTCCCTCTGATTTCTGAACTGATTGTGTAATAGACATAAGAGTCAAATCATAATTGTGTCAAGGATCCAAATATCAGTTCTATTGCTGGTAGAGTTAGAGCATGTGGCTTTTACTGCAGTAAAATTGGGCTTCTTTATAATTTTTCCTTTGAATTAAACTCAGCTACTCAGCAACAGTTAGAAGAGCCAGAAAACTGCAGGCCTTCTTCCATAAGGGCAGAGTTTACTGTGGTAAGGATTACTGCATGGGACTGCCTAAAGGAGAACTCACAAGCCTTGTAGAAAGAAATAGAGTAAAAGGCAGGTCACCTGGGAATAGTGACTATCTAATTACGAAATGTAGAACTAGGGTATCAGACCCTTACTACAGCACCAAGCAGATGAATCACTGCAGGAGAATGAATAAAGGAGACATGGTCAAAGTGTTACTCCAAAATGATCTCTTCTGGGGAATGGGGAGGAAATGTTCTCGTGGAGTCACGGGGGCAGGAAAATGGATTCCCCTCTGTAAGACGGAGTGCACTATTTGTGTTCAATGCTTGTTTGATTGACTGACCCATAATTAAAATGAGAAACGAATACTGAAAGAAGCATAATTACAGTTTTGCTTATATGGATCTGGTGGTTGACGGAAAGTAAAATATACAGTACATTACATAAATTATTGTAAGTGGGAAGACAGGCATGTGCAGTACAATTGGCCCAGGTTGTGTATTTCTTTTTTTATTTTTTATTTTTTTAGCAATATCCGTCCTATCTTAGAAATGTCTCCTGGATCCCTATATTACATAAATTATTATAAGTGGGAAGACAGGCAGTACAATTGTGTGCAGTACAATTGGCAAACAATTGGCTCATGTTCTGTGTTTTTTTTTATTTTTTATTTTTTAGCAATATCCATCCTATCTTAGGAATGTCTCCTGGCTCCCTCTTCACCTCTCTAGCCATTTGTCCACCCACTGGACCCCTGGTACAATACAAGTATAATTGTGCCACTCATTAGCTGAATTTCTTCTCTGCTAATTCCCCATCCCCAGTGCTCAAGAATGTAGAGAAGGCCCCAGTCTGCATCTTGAGCCTATACATGTGTCCATTGCTCTAGCCACCTTGCACTTTTCACCTTCTCCTAAATACTCTGTGCTCTTCTAATGACCACACCAATGGATATGCTGTTTCTTCTAATTAGCATTTCATTCCTCCCTTTGTAGGTAAACTATTCATAACTCAAGACACATTTTAAGTATGACCTCCTGTATGGAAACTTCTCTTATGCCCAGGGTCAGTTATTCCCTCTTCTGTGTGCCTATATCACCTACCAAACCCTTACTACACTGGTAATTATTTGCTTGTGCATACCTTCTCAACAACAATGATAGCTAACACTTCTATGGCTGGGAACTGGGCCAAGAACTTTATTGTATTCCTGCCTCACAGCAACTCTATGAAATATGTACTATGGTTATTCCCATTTTGTAGATTAGGGAAAGAAGGGTTAGAGAAGTTAAGTAATAAGCTAGAGTTCCATAGATTTAGATAAGTTTCAGAGCTGGCTGCCAAACCCGCATCTGTCTGATTGAAAGCTTTTCTCATCACAGTTCATAATGTAAGTCCACTGTTCAACCAGGCAGAGTGCCCTGTTAACATGAATCCGTTGTCAGGGCCTGGCACATAGCAGGCATTCAAAATTTTTTAGCTTTACAATTTCTTTTTTTTGTAAAATGTCAGCTAATGATTTATACTTACAAGGTTGCCATGTGACTTAAGTGCATTCAGCACTGAACACATTACCTGGTGCATAGTAGGCACCTGTGAATCTTTACTTTTTAAGTGAATAAACAAAAATGTAACTTTTATTGTAATGCAGTTGACAGCAATTCAGTCTTTAGGATACCATTAGCTTTCTAGTGATTTCAGTGAAGCGTGGTTTTCCAGGCCATTCTTCTGTGGACGGAGGCAGCTTCCCTCACCAGGATGCTGGCTGTTTATTTTCCAAGTGACAAGTTGATTTACTATTTTCCTTCTCATCACTTTCAAGAAGCATCTGCAGGCTAGTGAGTGACCCAGGCAGTGTGGAAAAGTCTATTTATTTCTCTGCTGCATCTTTCCTACGGAGAGTCTGAGGATAAGGGTTGGAAATGGCCTCAGGAGGTCAGATTTCCTGTGTATTTTCTTTTGTAGTGCAGGATTGCTCAGGGCGACACAATTTCCCGTCTGCTGGTACACTCTGCTTTTAAAATACCTGTGTGATGGGATGTGTCAGGTAAAGAATTTTGTTGTTTGTCCTTGGGGGATGGCTCTGCAGCTTGATCTCTCTTAATGCTTTCTTTGGCCCTAAAATACATTGTAAGGGAAATGAGACAGGGAGAGCCAAGAGTGCAGTTCACTTGTGCAATCTTTTGCCTTTTAACACAATCATTCTGTTCCTCCCTAAATTCTAGCAGGAAATGTCATTAAGTGTACAATAGAATTCACTCCACTAAAAGAATTTCTACTTTCCCCTCACTTTTGCAAATATGATCATCTCACAGCTCAGCAGATAACTTGGATGTCTGCTCACAGCTTCCTAAGAGGCTCTTAGAGGTAGGTGTTCCTGTTCAGTATATTGGATTCTTAGCAGGTTGGATAGTAAGGAAACAGACTTGTAGAGGAACGAACTCATACTTGCCTTGTTCTTTTGCCAGCAAAATACTCAAATTGCTGTTTTAGCTCAATATACCTTTCAGCACTGAGGGTATATGCAGCCCCTCCATCCCCCAGGAATGAGTAGAACTGTGCAATCGTGGACTTATTCCCTAGACGTTTCTTTCTGCAGTTGTGTACTCTTTTGCCTTGGAGCCATTACTTCTTTTGTCATTACTGAGGCTTCTTTGCCTGGAAAGCACTGGCCAGAATTGGGTGATCTGTGAGTTCACGACTTGAGAACCTCCAACCTCTGATTGCAGTTGCACTGGTGGAGAAGGCACAATATAGCCCCTGCTGGGTTTGTCTTCACAGAGAGTAAATGAGTTCACAGGCTGGCCACAAGACCACAGGCCATCTCTTTGCCTAGCAGGCAAGGCAATAGTAGCCCACGTGTTTTTGTGCCTCATTAGTTTCCAGGTGGGCCAGGCCAGGATGGGCAGCCAGGTTATCTTTGCATGAATACAGACTAAAGTACTGCACTGTGCTGCTGTACGAGACCAATTTGAAGGACAAAGGCTGCATGCTACAATGAGAACAATTTCGCTGTGTCTCTGAGGCTCATCATCAGGAAGCTGGCTCCCACTCCTTTCTGGAGCTCAGCAGGTGTTCTTCACAGGACCACTGGCTACAGCCACTTCAGAGGGGTCAGCATTTTAACGGGCTCTTCTAAGTATCTAAAAATTCCATTTCTAAGGCTCTCTGTTGGAGGTAAAGAGTGTTATCTTCTCAGATTGGCTTTTTTCAGCTTGTTGTTGAGAATTTGGAAAGAAAGTCAACCTACTCCCCTACTTGCCTGCTTTGTTTCCTGCTGCCTACCAGGGCTCTTGTCTACCATTGTCAGTAGTTTTACCTTTCAACAGGTTGAACCTCATGCAGCTGCAGAATATCAGATATAGGGTGCTAGGCATCTGCTTTGGGAATCTGAGTTCCTGGCAAAGTAGTGGTATGGTGTAGTAGGAAAAGCAATGGAATGAAAATCATAGCGTTACAGTTTTGGAAATGGCACTCCGTAGTACCTTGTATGACCCCTGTAAACTCTATGTGTCTCTATTTCCTCACATTGGTGTAATCATAGTAAAATGACCTCACAGAACATTGAGAGGATACAAATAATGATTAAGAAGGCATTTGGAAATCCATGACACGTCCAGATGCATGTAAATACCTGCTTGCAAATGGCCCTAGAATCCTTCTTTATCAATGTCTGACATGTTTTCATTTTCAGTCCTTTCTTGACTAATTCTTTGTCTTTTTCTGCCAAATTTTGCCTTTGGTCTTTGGCTTTCCAATGATTGCATTTGGATCTTAAGTATCCACACTTTGGTTTCCTCCTGTGTTCTCTGGCTTGCTGTGCCTCTGCCTCTCTTAGGTTGTTCTGCTAGGAACTTCTGCTTACATTCTTGCCCAGTGAAGTGTAAACCTCACTATATCCAGGAACTATATCAACATCTAGGCTGAACCAGTTCCAGGCAACCCCTGAAAAAGTAGTTCAAATGTATTTCTAAAAGATTATGCAATCTCTTAAAAATACAGGTTGAATCCTTCTATCCTTCTCAGTAAAATTATGCAATGGTTCCCCATAACTTATAGAAGTTCAAATTTTTTGCCCTTAAAGCCCAGTTTGGGTTTTTAAGACACCAAGCCATTAGGAATGGCAGGCCTAATTAAACAGTTGCATGCATTTTCCCCACACTTCTTAGATTGCATAGTAATAAAATATAACACTGAGTATTTTAATCTGCTTTGGAATTTCTCAGAGAAATAGAGTGATTATTATATAAATTATAAGTTGGGTGTCTTTTAGGGGGAAAGAAGTGAAGAACAGAATTAAGTAAATGCTTATTAATACTAAGTATATATCAGTATTGAATTAATCAGCCATTTGAAAGATCAGTACTTCATATATCTTATACAAACTGATTTAAAATCTTGAGTTATACATATCTAGATTGCATCTAGTGTTTAATCAATTGGACACTTACAAATAATGGATAAATGATTTGTTGTCATACAGAGTTGAGCTTTGCTTTTCATGCAGTGAGAATAATACTTTTCATTTTTACACTTATGCAGTTGATTGTAAACTTTGGGATGATATAATTTAAATGGATCTAAACAGTCCATTAGCTATGTCAGTGCCTCCTCTCTTGCCAAGCTATAGTTTTATGCTAAGCTGTTGTGTACTGTATTACATAATCCCCTGCATTCATTTTCTCCACCTATTTAGCTTGAATAAATACAAGGTGACTGCATTGTCTCTTCAACCTACTTCTCAGTAAAAACACCAAGTATAAAAAACAGATTTTTGGGTGCTATTTTGTTTTTTCTAATGGAGGATTCAAAGGATTGAATAAGGTTAGAAATGCATGTTTGTCACTATTTGGTTTTGCCCCTTTTAGTTACCCTTACTGTCAACTTAGTATGGTTTTCAAGGTGATAAGAGAGTGGTTGAGTCTCAGCTACTGGAAGGAAATTAAGATAGATTGGAGGTCTTAGAAGAAAAATCATGTCAGTTGTGCAAGTGGACAAAACAATGATTTCTTCAAGGTCCTCATTTTTTTCTCCTTCTCCTTTCTAGCCCTTGATTTGCTCTTTTAAAGACTGGGTTATTGGGAGGCAGAGCTTGCAGTGAGTCGAGGTCGTGCCACTGCACTCCAGCCTGGGGGACAGAGCGAGACTCTGTCTCAAGAAAAAAAGAAAAGGACTGGGTTATGCATTGCTAGTGCCTCTTACCCCATAACATGTAGGGGAAAATTATTCCATCACTTGAAAATGATATACATTTGCTTATGTAGGATACGATTCAGAGAGAAGCTTTCAGTTGTCTATTGTTTGTTGACCAATGGAGGAGATATCCCAACATGGTAATGCTGATCTTGGTAGCCTCCTCTGACTCAGGGAAGAGGTAAACTGAGAAAATTCTTCACTGGATGAAAAGATGGGGAAGGTTGTGAATGGTTACAGCAATTTCTGTTAAATATTTGCAAAGGAAGGCACTTGGCCACATAAAATCTTCTTCGGTATAGTTGCATGGAGATTAGCATAAATATGCATGTGATTTGCATAGGCCTTTTCTTCCTCACGTTGGTTTTAGTTCTTATTTATTTATGGTGATATTCTCTTCTCTACACTGATGCCATTTTTTCCCCTGTGGCCTCCCACATAAAAGAAGTGTTTTTGCTTTAAATACAGATCTAAGGGCTGAAAGGGAAACATTTCTTTTGGTGAATGAGTGATTCATGTAAGGTGAGAGGAATTGGTTTCTGGCTCAATTTATTCAAAGTTTGGGATGGTTTGTCAGTCAATGCACAGTTCCATGGAATCATCTGTGGCCTTTGACAAGACAAGTAGGAGCATCTGGAATATCCAGAGTGATGGGCAAAGGGAAGATAATGAATATTTAGACTAAGAAAAGACCAGACATGCCCCAAGCCCAGAGTACCACAAACTAACTGTGATGTCTCAGGCAACTCACTTATTTCTAGTCATCAATTTCTTCCTTAATAAAATAAGGGCATTAAATCAGGCCATCTCTAAAATCCCTTATAGCTCTAAAATTTATTATTTTGACAGACTCCTTGCTCTAATTATATAAAAAATATTAAGCACCATGTAGCACATTAAATAATATCTGGTGCCTTGCTGTTCTGTCAAACTTTTCCCCTTTGAAGGGTACTGGATGATTAATTTAAGCTTCTCTTTATAGGCACTACTTTCCTTGCTCATTTTTCTCAGTTCAGTGGGCACACAAGGTATAACTTAAATGTTTATAGAAGACACCCATTAATATACCACTTGCGGTGCCAAGGACATGCACAGTAGTTGGCTTTGTGGACATCCATGTCTGTAGAAAAAGAGCTTAGTTGTGATAACGCCATTTGATTTGTCACCTTCTACTCTAGATCAGGGTCACCTCCAGGTCTCCTGAGCAGGGCCTTGTCCAATTGCATTTTAACAAAGACGATTCTTCAGAAATGAGGGGAGAGATCATGACAATAGACAGAACATTTGGGGAGTGGATAGAACTACTTCAAACACGCAGACAGTGTTGAATTTCTGCTTTATTATTTTTGGGGGGCTATTTCTGCTAAAATCCAGTATGAGTTATGGGCTAACTACTTATACATGTGCAAGCTACCCTGTGAGCATTTATAGGTGAACAGGTCTCTTTTGCTTATACCAATGTGTGTGCAAGCAGACATATGCAGGTAGATACATATGACTGGGCTGCTCTGGAACACACAAGAGAAACTTGATCTCTTCTTTAACTCCCTGGAGTATGAAGCTGAGGCTGATGTTTTAATGATGTCATAATGCTAAGATTAATTTAACAATATGTAGTGGGTAGAAGTCTTTTCACATTATAAAATATCTCCTTTTTACAGCTCTTACTTTATGATGAAAAAATATTCATTTTGCCTAAGAAATTTACCTGGGGCTGTAATGGTTAACACAGATCTGAGTTGAAGTGGACTTGGCTTTGGTTAATTAGCCTGGAGTGTAGTTCCGGCAGGGAAAATATAATTCTCTCAACCTTATTTTGTAGCCTCCAATCTTTAGAGGGAAACTGTATACCTCAACTATTGTTGCCATTTTCTTTTAGTAATGAGGTGCTTTTGATAGCTTTTGACCAACTCTGGTATGAAGTAGACCATTCTAAGTAAGGCTATCTGGCAAGAAGACAAATGGAAGGTCATAACACTGTGTGTCAAAATTATAGATCGAATCAACAAATAATTAAATAAAATATATTTCACCCTCTTACCTTGACAAATATACCTTTAAAACTAGTTGGAAAGCCAGGCTCAAATTTAGAGTTTTTGGATTCCTTGGAGTTCTGCATTGGGAAATAGCAGCACAAGGGGAACCAGCCAACCCCTAGTCCTCAACCCATGGTCTACTCCCTTCTCTTCCCACCTTTGGCTTTGTCCTATATCATGAAGGGTCTGGTATGAATGCATGTGGTTGCCCCAGCCTAATGGAGAAGCCTTATCCACATCTCTGCAAATAGTCTCCCACGGCTACTCCTCAGACCTTGCAATATGTATGGTTTGCCTTTAGAAAGATGGATCAAGGGCTGGGTGCAGTGGCTCACGCCTGTAATCCTAACACTTTGGGAGGCCAAGGCAGGCAGATCACAAAGTCAAGAGATTGAGACCATCCTGGCCAACATGGTGAAACCCTGTCTCTACTAAAAATACAAAAGTTAGTCGGGCGTGTTGTCACACACCTGTAGTCCCAGCTACTTGGGAGGCTGAGGCAGGAGAATCGCTTGAACCCGGGAGGCGGAGGTTGCAGTGAGCCGAGATCACACCACTGCACTCCAGCCTGGTGACAGAGCAAGACTCAGAAAAAAAAAAAAAAAAAAGGAAATAAAAAGAAGAAGAAGAAAAAAGAAAGATGGATCCAGGGAAGAGGCCTGCACAAGCCCTGAAAAACAGGCTTAAGGCTTTTTGGGTGGGCAATTACAGGGTCCCAGTCTATGAAATATTGTCTTGAAAGAGTATATGGGCTCCAGTAGAATGCGATCTTGGCCCCATGGAACTCTAGTTCTGTGGGGAAGGATAGTTCTGTGGGGAAGAAGAGAATGCCGTCCTGGCCCTGTGGAACTCTAGTTCTGTGGCCATAGGATAGTCCAACCAGGGTCTTCAAAACAGGATACCCTAGAGCAGAGAGTCTTGAGTTTAACAGTGGTATTGCTGTCTTATCAAAACATATCAAATTAATTCTCTTCCCCTCTCCTTACCTGCTGTATCACCTGCTCAGGTCCAACCTCCTACTTAACAACTCAGCCATGTTCCAGGGGGCTTAGGACTGTATTATAGAAACCAAAGTTAGCTGAGTTATTGACAGATGAAAATCCCAGCCAGATCTTTCGGGGTAATTTATTTTTAGTTATTGGTCAATAAAAGCTACCTGGAGCTAGAGAGTCCTTTGTCAGAACAGTTAATTATCCATTCTAAACCAGCTCTTCTACAAGCATTTAAAAGCAATTCCTGAAGCAAAAGCAACTCGAGCCTCACTTGATCATTTTGCATGAAACCTCCCTTTAGGTTTTTCTTGAGAAAATTCGAAGGAAAGGCAGCAATCTCTTTTGCACCATCTTGTTTTGTCTTCTACCCTCGTGTGGACACGTCGTTTCTCTGCAGTCACCCCTGCTGCTAGTTTCCCTGGTGTTTCGATATAGGACTTGCAGAAGAATTGAAGGGAGTGCTGTGTTGGTATCAGCACAAGAACGGGGCAGTGCCCCTGCGGTGTGTTCTCTTTGGTATTTGCATAGGTCTGACTCTTGCCAGACAAGTGCTGATTGCTTTCCTCTTTTCTTTTCCTATAGCTCGAGAGGAGAATGTGGCCACTTTCCGAGGCTCAGAGTATCTGTGCTACGACCTGTCTCAGAACCCGATCCAGAGCAGCAGTGATGAAATCACCCTCTCCTTTAAGACCTGGCAGCGTAACGGCCTCATCCTGCACACGGGCAAGTCGGCTGACTATGTCAACCTGGCTCTGAAGGATGGTGCGGTCTCCTTGGTCATTAACCTGGGGTCCGGGGCCTTTGAGGCCATTGTGGAGCCAGTGAATGGAAAATTCAACGACAACGCCTGGCATGATGTCAAAGTGACACGCAACCTCCGGCAGGTAATGGCTGAGGGGAGAGAATTCCTGGAAGGCTCATCTTAGGTGGCTGGGTAGTAAATTTGTGAAGCAGGTGATGGGTGTGAGGTGGAGAGGGGTGGAGATTCAGGGATGGAGATGTTAACGTCTAACTTTCTCCCAGTCTTTGCAATTTCACGTGGAAAATTATTAAAATATGTTTCTCCACATACTTCAATTCTCTCTCTGTGCTTGTTATTTAAGAAAAAAAAAAACAACTCAGTTGTATAGATAATAAAAGTTGTAAGTACTTTCATTCCTTTTATTCTGCTTTCCTTTGATCATTTTCTTAATTACATTTGAATCTTATCGTATTATTGTTAAATTCAATTAGGGACTGCATTTTGTTTCTGCAGCTTCGTAGATTTTCCTCATTCTTTGAATATATGTTTTTCTTTTTAATTAAGTTAGCCATTGCCACGATGCCATAATTTTAATTCCTTCCAGAAAAAGTCTTCCTTTTCCTCTTTTAATTTACTACCCTTTCCCAACTATTTTTTTCTTTTATGTTAACCTCTAGCTTTGGAATTAATTAGCCGGGATCTTTCTGAATTCCTCTGTTTCTCTGTTCTTGATGCGGTGGTCCTACTCTATTGCCCCTGTCTCTCCCTCCGAGACTCTTCAGTTGACTGGGAGGCCTGGAAAGTGGAAGGACCCAAATAAAAAAGTCAACTTTGGAGCAGCCTTTCCTGGTTCTGTCCGTGCTTGGGAACTCCCATCGCTTGCCGATTCTAAGCAGGCACCTCCGTCAGGTGACAACATTCTCAGAAAGCCTTAGCCAAGTGAAGTTGTTTTCAATTTCATGACTAATAATAATGATAACAATAATAATACCTCATCAGCTCACATCAGTAAAAGAAAACCGTTTCCTATAAAAATCAAAGTCTGTGCTGAGACCGCCTTTTCCAGGTTGCCATTTTCACTTGGTTTTTCTATTTGCGAATCTGTTGTTAAACCCAGTTGGATGGCATCCAGGCTTTATTAACCAGAAAACACTATACTTTCTGAAGTGCTTATCAAAAAGTGCTTACCAAATTTTCTTCTGCCACATGATTGATTTAATGTCTTCTAATGTCAATGTGAAAGCGTAAGAAATGATAGGTGTCTGCCTACGTTTTCTGTTTGATAAAAGTGTAACTCCTTACGAATACTAAACAAATGGTATAGGCTGGCACACATTTGAAACACATTTCCACACTTAGGTATGTCAAGGAAGCCATCCTGTTGGGAGATTACATTTATCTCAGGTAAAAATGCCAAATGACACAAGACTTAGAGTCCCCAAGCATCTTGACATTCATGAATCTGATATTTTTGAATCATTGTTCTATGTTTTTCCTCCAAGGCCAAAGAACCCTATTGCTAATATCTTCTTTCGTCATTCCTCATCCATACTTACCCAGGAGAGAACGTCTCAACTGTCAAGAGAACCCAAATCAAATATCCATTTGCTAACACATAAGGGCTTGTTACATGAGAGCTGCAGAGACTAGACCTAAAAGTGAAATACAACCTTTTGCTAGTTTTGATTGGCAGGTACAAAATAACACGCTTTAGGCATTAATCAGTGGAGGAGAGACTTTTCATGTACTTCAGAGCACAATCAGGTCATGATTCTCACCAATTTGTTTCTCTACCTCTCTCCCACCACCCTTCCTTACCATTCTGGAATGATTCCAATTCTCCTGTGAAAGGCTCACTTTTGTTTCTACTAAAAACACTTTTCTAAAATAGTATCAGGCACACTTAAGTCCTTTAAATGGAGAGAGGATAAACCAAACTGTAATTCAAATATTGTTTGTGCTGTTTTAATCAGAGCAGCTAGAGGAAAACTACCCTGGATGTTTTTCCCGCCCCTGCCCTTCATGTTCTAAGGCCCAACTCTGCTCTGTGCCCTTGGGCAAGCCATTTGACCTTTCTCCACCACAGTCTCCATTTGCAAAATGGTGGTTACAATCTTCCGCAGCCATGTGTGGTGGCTAAATATGCAAAGCACCTTATGTTCCAGAAGGATTATGAGCTCATCCATGGTCTAGGTATAGACGTGCTGTGACGTGCACATGATCTACAGGCTGAGCTTTCTGTTTCAAAGGTGACTGCATCTGTCTGGCACCAAGGATGCAGCTAAGTGCAATTCTCTGTTCTAGACAGGGATACAGAGGCCCTACAGTATTGGGGGTATTTCTTGGCAGAGGGAGTATTAATCTTCTGTGAGAAAGTGAACCTAAAATTGAACCTCATTGAAATTCTGACTAAATTTTGCATCCAAATGCAATTTATTGAAAGAGGAAAATCTCTGAAAAGCAAAGTTGATTTTGCAAATGCAATTATTTTAATGTGAATAATATAAGATTATTATTTTGTCCATTAAAATAATATTTATAACATCTATTTGAGTTCCCTGGGATACATTTGAATGGTGGGATCTTCCTGTCTATTTCAATTAAACTATAAAGAGCTCCATAAATATTTGACAACAAACTTATAGCAGCCTTATTCATATTTTTGGTAAGATTGAATGGCTTTTATGACAAAAATTCATTGAGTAAAGTTTACCTGGGGTTTCCCGGAGTACTTATTACCAAATGGAGCAGAAGTCTCCTCATTTCTTCCTTCATGATCATCTATTCATGGTTTTGCCTTTAAGCCAGGTCAGGACCAAGGCCAGGTATTTTATTGTGGCTTACAATTAAAGGAAGGAATGTGGACTACCTGTATCTATTGCAAACTATAACTGGGATTAGGGACCAAGGTAGTGAGGAATTTGTGTGTTTGTATGTGGTAGTGGGGTGGTAATTGGTCCTTGACATTGCCTGAGTCCAAGGTCATGGCCATAACTTTCATTGCTTTACCTCTATGTGTTAACTTTTGTTAAATCACAAACACAAAACTGAGGTTACCAGTCTTCCAGTCTTCCAGAGGGTTTTTCTAATCATGTTTAACCTGCCAGTCTTCCCTGCTATCCATACAATAAATTACATAAAAGCTTGAAAAGCATTGTTCAAGAGGAATTGGGGGAGAGAGATTCCAAAGCATTCTGGCCAAGTAAACAAATTAATGACCTTATTGAGTAATAAAGAAGATTCTAATTTTTTTTGATACATTCTATTAATTCTAAACTGAAGGAAAACTGTTTCTCTCTGGTTGCACACATCCACAAAAATGAAATAGGCTGTAGATGTTTAATTATCTATGGAAACCTAGAGTACACTACATAAGGCAGACTTTCTATGCTAGGTTTGATCTGTAAATGCTTTAAGTTTTTTCCTTTTTGGGAGGATTTCATGATCATTTATCCACATTGTAGTCATAGTCAGATGTGAAAAAAGTAAACCCCAAAATATTTGTATTTCAGTTCTTTGTATCTGTTTTTCTACATGTGGAATGGTACCTGTTGGGGGGTCTTTCCTTTTGGAAGAGGTGGAATGGGTTTGTGTTAGAGGGTGGGAAGGGAGTGGGCGGTGTCCATTCAGAAAGCCCTTAGGAAGTAAGTATGGTGCTAATTCTAACGGGTGAGGTGTGGTCTGAGAGAGATTTGGAAGAAGCAGGGAGCTGCAATGGCATGTAGACTGCAGCTCCTTTTCTGGCTGTGCCCCAGGTGGCATGGTTTTCCATAGAGTCCTGGTCTCATTGTCTTCCCCCCACTCTCTTTTTCTGTGTCGGGTGCCTTTTTTTTGAGAAACTAACACAAGATCATTCATGCAATGTGTCATTTTACTAACCGACTAATGTACTAACACCCTAACGACTCATCTTTGTTTTTAGTTTTTTTAATTAACAATCGTTCTGTTCACAATTTTTAATTTCCTTTCTTCCCCCTTCTCCGCAAAGCACTCAGGCATCGGACACGCTATGGTAAACAAACTACATTGTCTGGTAGATATCATTCTTATTGTCTCTTTTTTTGGGTTTGCCGTGTGTTGCCCCCCTTTTCCTCTCCAACCCCCCCTTTTATCCTCTTTAGACTCATTTCTTCTTTTAAGATTTTGTTACATTAAATGCAAGCCTTTCTTTTTCTTAAAAAAAAAATGGAAGGGGATGCACTTGTCCTAAAAATGATATTTGGTTGAATTTTGTGGGGAAGGTTTCCTTTTCTCTAGTTTTCAATTTTTTCCCCCAAAAAATGCTTTTTTTTTTTTTTTTTAAATCTCTATTTGGCTAAATTTGTTTTCTTTTGTTTTCTTATTTTACAACTTCCAAGTTACATACTAGGGACAACAGAGATTTATAGTGAGAACTTCCTTCTTTCTGTGCCTTCCTCTCCCTCTCACTCTTCCTCTTTTCTTTTTTTCTCCTTTCCCACTCCTTAGTCCCTTTTCTCTTTCCCTTTTATATGGCCACGGCTGCCACAGGTGATCTGGGGAGGAAAGTACTCCACTTCCTAGACTCTTTCTTACCCTTCTTTTACTTTACTCCCCTACCGTGGCCAAAAGGATATCCACCAATTATGTTCTCCATACAAACTCTGCATGGCATGTTCCTGTCTCGTGAATTTTCCTACCTGCATCAGAATTTGTTTCCTCATTTTCCTCCTCATTACTAACAACCTACCAATCATCAACCCAATTTCAGTTTCTTCTCTTTTATTTTTCCCCACTCTTCATTCTCCTTTCATCTTTCATATATTTGGGGGTTGGGTTTGGACTTTTTCTTTTCTTTTCTTTTCTTTTATTTAGTAAGGGAGGTGGCAGGCAGAGAAAAGACTACCTTTTAGTTTTGAATGCTTTTTTTTCACTTCCATCTTGTTCTTCGGTTTGTTCAATGCATGTAAGTGTGAAGTGGATTTTGATTCTTTCCCTAATTTCTCCCCACCCTTTCCCAGTTTTGTTTTTCTTCTGCCTTCTCTCTTGGTTCCAGATAATTTCTGCATGGGTGTATCGGTGTATGGTGTGTGCATGCTTTGAGGCCCCATCGTTTCTCTCTGCCCTCTGCTCCTTTCATGGATGTTGGGTAAAAGGGTGCTATTTCTTTTCTGTGGGCATTATTATTTTTATTGTTTTGGTTATTATTCCTCATCATTCATTTTATTGTTGTTCTTAGAGTTGCCTTTTTGGTTTGGGTCATTTCTTCTCTTGGAGGTGGTGATGGGAGCCAAGGGAGGGTAGGGATTGGTGTCCTGGGGCAGTCCATGGCATGTATCATCCATGACCATATCAGAATCAAGACCCTTCTCCTTCCCTCCCTGAATGCATGTTTGTCAGCGTGGTGTGAGCCAAAAAATATTAATAACAATAAAGATAAAAGAAAAGAAAAAAGAAAAGAAAAGAAAAAAGGAAAAATAAAACCATCAACAACCAAAGACCAACCCCTAACAAATTTCATCATCAAATGTCTTCTTTGCTGTTTTTCACTACCACCATGAATAACAATCATGTAAGAAATAAACAATCATTTTAGCAATGAACTGAGACAAGTGATATCGTCTGAGGATGGTTCCATTTTCTAGCCTGACTGTGTAAAGATTGCAATGGGTAGAACAAGGTGCCCAGCTTGGAAATTCTAACAAAGTCATCCATGAGTCTGCAGGGAAATACTGAAGGCTTGAGACCCAGGGAGGCAGACCAGAAAATGGAACTTGGCTGCACATACCAAAATCAAATCAAATTAGAAAGTATATCTCATGAAAATCTTAATGAAAGTGATGCCACAAGTAGGGGAAGCCACTGGGTTATGATAGGATCGTAAGGTCATTGTTGGGATTTTTTTTGTCCCTATGTCCCTCCACCAGGTGACAATCTCTGTGGATGGCATTCTTACCACGACGGGCTACACTCAAGAGGACTATACCATGCTGGGCTCGGACGACTTCTTCTATGTAGGAGGAAGCCCAAGTACCGCTGACTTGCCTGGCTCCCCTGTCAGCAACAACTTCATGGGCTGCCTTAAAGAGGTAAAGTTCACCCAATTCTATTTAATGCACCATGTGATTGTTTCATTTATAAACAAATGACATGTCTAAATCAATGACTGGATCTGTCCTCAAATCTATGAGATGATAGATTGCAGCAGAAACAACCTTGAACTTGGAAGTAGGTGTCCTACGTTTTCATTCCCGCTTAAGCTGGTTGCATGACTTGGGGTTTGTCACTTTAGTACTGTATTAGTCTGTTTGCATGCTGCTGATAAAGACATACCCAAGACTGGGTAATTTATAAAGAAAAGAGGTTTAATTGATTTACAGTTCCACATATCTGGGGAGGTCTCACAATCATGGCAGAAGGCAAGGAGGAGCAAGTCACATCTTACATGGTGGCAGGGAAGAAAAACTTGTGCAGAGGAACTCCTCTTTAATAAAACCATCAGATCTTATGAGACTTATTCACTATCATGAGAACAGCATGGGAAAGACCTGACCCCATGATTTAATTACCTCCCACTGGCTTCCTCCCACTGGCTCCCTCCCACGACATGTGGGAATTGTGGGAGCTACAATTCAAGATGAAATTTGGGTGGGGACACAGCCAAACCATGTCAAGTACCCTGTAGTTCTATTTCCTCATCTAACAAATGGAAGCTCTTATCCCACAGATGGCTGTGTTTATAAATTAAATGCAGTCACACAGGTGAAAGGCCATTGAAATCACAAGGAACTAGATGAGTGCAAAGTTTGATTTTGTGATTTTGACCTGGCAAATAGGAAAGCTCTAGCTAAAAGTGGCTCAATCTGTTGTTGTGTACCCTGTCTAAAATATAACATATGTATTATTTTACCTTCACTAAGCCTGGTGTTCCCAAGGGTCTCATAGTTGAGACGGAAGAAAATTCTTATAATGTGACATTAAGGCTCAGAAGACTGGTTTTTTCCTTTGCTTCTTCTTCTTCCCTGAGAGCTAGTAGCTGTGAAAAAACAGTGGGACTTTGCCACTACTTGTTTATTACCATTGTAGCTGATGTATTGAGACCTCTTTCTGAGAGCAAAGGAGCTTCAGCCAAGTGTAAGTTCAACCTCTAAGGTCAATTGTTGAGGCAAAAAGAATCAGACTAAATTTGGTAGAGCTCTTTCAGAACACTGTGGCATCAAAGCAGTGCACTGCACATTTTAAGCTAAGCTTCATTGCCGAAGATATCTATACCATCTCCCTGGGGATGTTACTTGAGAAGCAAACAGTGTTCCTTCTTGTAGATAACAATCCCTTGTGACATCTTATGAGTCTCCTCTTGGGGCATATGTTTTATTCTTACTATGGTTATTTGAAATTTGTTGAACATCATTTGTATATGAGATGGCACTGTCCATGCATTCATTCATGCCACTGCCCTGTGAGCCTTGTCCAGGCAGGAATTGTGTCTGTTAGGCATGGCACATAGTAGATGCATAATAAGGATTTGTTTGTCTATTTATCTGATAATCATTGAGTACCTTTTTTGTGCTGTAACTAAATTTGGTGGCTCTTTTTAAGCCATGATCTCCATGCTCCAAGGCTTTGCCTTGTAGGAAGGGAGATGAGATCAGTGAGTGAATAAGTATAGCATAGGAGTACATGTGTTCAGTGGCACATACTAAATGCTCTAATTGAGTAGAGGAAACATAAATTTTAGGTGGAAGTCAGTTTTAGAGAAGGAGTGACATTTGAGGCAGTCCTTGTTGTAATAAATCATGTGCGAATTGAGAGGAAGGGGTAGAAAAGAGAGACATAATAAAGGAGAGAAAATCCAATTGTAGCTTTGTATTGTTCTCAGCCTGTAGGACAAAATAAGAGGAGCACCCAAAGAGTGCTATTATCTCTCTGCAGGATGTTACCTAGGCTTCTGCTGGCTTCAGAGATTTCATCGTCATTTCTGATGGAATTATGGTAGGCATAGAGCCCTTCCTCACTGGGATTTACTCCTATTTGGATAGAATAAAGGTATAGACTATGCACTGTCTAGTGAACCCTGAAAGACTCTTAAACACTGTTAAATCACACTACATTGGAATTGCACTCTCATCAGAAAAAGACTGCAACATTCTTGTTACCAAGGACATGGCTCAGGAATGAATGAGGCATTGGTTGCTGTGGAGTGCTCATTCAGTTTTGTAGTGCAACAGTCCTGAGCATGGAGTCTCTCCAGGACAGGATTTAGGTCTTGCCTTTAGGATTAATTTTCTCCTACACACAATTATATTGAGCTACCTCTCCATTATATACTTAGAGACAATGGAGCAATTTCCCAACCATGAATCTTCTATCTATTAATCAGGAAGGATGCCCTGAAAATTTTGAAACAAGTCTCATAAAAACACAAAGGTGTCTCTGATGACTTTATCCATGTGGAAACAAAAGAAAATAAAATACACACACACACACACACACACACACACACACATTTTTGCTGCCCAGATAGAGAGCAGAAAGCTTCAAAAGTCTGTCAGAATCATTCTGAATAGCTTAAAAGGTAAAGGCAGTTCTGAAAAACAGTGTCAATAATAGAAATAACTATAATCAGTGATGTCAATATATCCTTATCTTAGCTAGCAGCACAAATATGCATTTAAATTCAGACCAAGTTAGAAAAAGGAAAGTTCAAAACACTAACGGAAATGATAGGCAAAGCTAGAACTTGATAAACTCCTGCCCCGTCTGTTTTCCCTGTACAGCGTGATAGTCTTTCTAAGGGACTCGGAAGTCTTCTTATTTGTCTGAGTACTTTGAACAGATCACTTTGAGTCTAACGTAGTGCTGGCATATTATTTCTTTGCATTTAATAATTACACTTCACTTTTCTGTGGGCAGGTCTATGGAGATACTTCTCTTGTTCTTGGTATTTGTTTTTGATAAATCAGTAAACAGCAAAGGCTATGTTAGGATTCAGCTACCTGATAAACCCCACTCACCCACTTAAACCATAGAACAGTCTTTAATTATTTCACAATCTCTTCTTCCCCTTCCTTTTCCTCTTGCTGCCTTAAAAAAATCTTCTCTTGCCATTTGTGGCTTTAAGTTGTCCTAAATGAAACAAGGTGATTTTATGTGTAATTTTCTTCAAATTAGGGACATGGCAAAGGGCCTATGCAATTTCTGCTCCAGATCATCAATATTTCTTTGTGTGTGGCACAAAATAGGTTTTGTCTTTGGGACTGTAGTTACTTCACACCTAAAAGCTAAGTTCTGGCTCCGTGATTGTGCCAAAGGGACTGGATATTACTTGTGTGCGTACTTCCTAACTTCATACCAGTGTAAAAGCCACAACAAAGCGTCCACATTGTCGTCAAACTATGATGGTTCTCTACACACCTTAGTTATCAATATGCAGTTTGTGTCCACTTAACTATCATGAAGTCAGCATCTTGTTCCTTTTCATGTTTTCACATTTTAGTGTGTCTGTCTCATGTTTGTTCTTGTTGTATCCCCAGCTCCTAGAATGGTTCTTGGCACTTAGTGGCTCTCAGTCAATATTTGCTGAGTGAAATCACATGATTGTACATTAATAAATATCTTTCCTAAATGAATGCTTTTAGGTACTATTGACCACTTGACTTTCCTGGGATGACTAAAGAACATCTTGACATGGCAGTGGTTGAATCTTTCAAGAATCTTCTCTGCCTCCCCCTGAGCTATCAGATATGAGAAAAAGATTATATTAAAAGCCTCAGCAAGGCTAAGAGGAATGATTGGAAGTTCCTCTATGAAAAATGGGTTAGAAAAGGCTATGAGGGAGACATCATAGTATAATGAAAAGAATACTGGGCTTCAGATCAGAAAATCTGCTTAAGAATGCTAGCTTTATCACTGGCTATATAATAAGACCACTGATCTTACTCCAGTCTCAGTTTTCTAACCCATAACAAGGAGATAATAAAACTTCTGTTGCATTCTTAAGAAAAAAATGAAATGATGTACATAAAAGTGAAATCATACAGCATTGCAAAATACAATGTTTTTGCTTATAATAATTATTAAGGATTATATATTGCATTGTATAAAATAGTTTACAAATAGAAATGTAAGTGTAAGTGAATATCCATTAACACATGGAATCTCTATATTTCTCATATTAGCAAATCATTGTCAGGAAAAAAAACCCCATCATTCTGAGGTTTGCCCTACATAAATTCTATCATAATGCAAAAATAGGGATAACTCATCCCACCTGCCCTCAATGATGACTTTGTTTTTTGCCTTTGGTCATTTATTTGACACTATGTTTTCCTTTATTAAAATGTGAATTCCATGAGAACAGAGGTCCTATTTGCTTACAAATATTTCCCCAGCACCTAGAGTGGACCCTGACATTAAAAAAAATGCACTCAATAAGTATGTCTGGAATAAATAAATAAATGAATATGATAACCTCATGGAGCTCTGAAATCTGGTGGAGTTTAGATGAGCAATGTGTAAGTCCAGACAGCTATTAAAAAGTATCATAGGCTGAGTGGCTTATAAACAACAGAAATTTATTTGTCACTGTTCTGGAGGCTGGAAGTCTAAGAACAGTGTGCCAGCCTGGTCAGGTTCTGGTGAGGGCCCTCTTCTGGGTTGCAAATTGCTGTTTTCTTATTGTGTTCTCACATGGAAAAAAGAGGATAAGAGTTCTCTAGGGTCCCTTTTATAAGGGCACCAATCCCACTCATGAGGGACCTTCATGACCTGACCTTCATGACCTCCCAGAGGCCCCACCTCCTAAAACTGTCACATTGTGGGTTAGAATTTCCATAAATGAACTTTGGAGAACACAAACATTCAGTGCATAGCAAACAATATATCCCCCAAACCTATAATATGCCAAGGACTGTGCTAAAATACAAATATGAGTCAAACATGTTTCCTGCTTTAGAGGAACTCACATTAGTGGGGAGAGGCAGACACACGCATAAATGCAATAAATAGCAGTTAATGCACAACATGAGGCATTCTTAGTTACAATGTGGCTGCTGAGGAGAAGGACCTAATACATCCTGGGGTTCAGGGAGCATCCCAAGGTGAGGTGCTTGAAGCCAAGTAGAAGTGAGCATGGAAGCATGGGGAAAGAGGTGCTCCAGGATGAGGGGCAGGGTGAGCAAAGGCATGGAGGTAGAGCATGTTCTGGTGTCTGGGTGAAGAACTTACAAACAGCTTGCTAATTTCAAGGCCCAAATTATAAGACTGGGAGCTTTGGACTGGTAGCTGCGGTTAGGTAGGGACCATTTCATAGAGGCCTTTATTTCATGCTATACCCTTGGACTTTGTTCTCTAGGTAACGGGGGAGCCATTGAAGGACCTTATGCAGCAGAACATGGTCAGATTGGCATCTTACCCATCAGGCCTTCATTCTTTGAGGAGTAATGTTAATTCATCTACCACTTTCCCCTGATGTATGTTTTTGTCCTAGGAAGTTGAAGATCAGGGATAGAAATGGTGGTCCCTCGGCCGAGTGCGGTGGCTTACGCCTGTAATCCCAGAACTTTGGGAGGCCAAGGTGGGCGGATCACGAGGTCGGGAGATTGATACCGTCCTGGCTGACACGGTGAAACCCCATCTCTACTAAAAATACAAAATCAAAATTAGCTGGGCGTGGTGGCGGGCACCTGTAGTCCCAGCTACTTGAGAGGCTGAGGCAGGAGAACGGTGTGAACCCGGGAGGGGCAGCTTGCAGTGAGCCGAGATCGCACCACTGCACTCCAGCCTGGGCGACAGAGTGAGACTCCGTCTCAAAAAAAAAAAAAAAAAAAAAAAAAAAAAGAAAAGGTGGTCCCCTGAGCTTCGGCATTAGATTGGCGCCTGCCTCTCTGAATTTTAACATTACTGCAGACAACTGCTTCCTTCTGACTCCCATTTCAGTTTCCAAAAACCCTCCCTGAGAGGACATGCATTTCTCTTTTCCTCTGTCCTTGGCATTACTGAGCTGTTCAATGACAAATGAAATACAGGAAGGCCAAGCCAAGACTGAGTTACATGAGTAGGGTCCCCATCAGGCTACTCAAGCCCATCACAGTTTCCTCCCACGTGTTGGACCTTCTGTGTAGTTTGATTTGGTTATTTCCACACCATCCTCTTTTCTCCTCAATCTGACACTCCTCCATTTTCCCAAGTGGAGAAGCGAAAGTGCCACTGAGACCTCTGGGACAGACTGGACTCTCTCATCTCTCTTTTCTCATGGCATCTCTAATGGGGAGGAAGGAAAAGCAGGAGAATTGGGAGAATAGAACACATATTTAAAGGAAAAAGGATTGGATAGAACATCATTGTGCACATTACATTCCACATCCCTTTGTGATTATTAGCCATTTAAAACCGAATGGAGTTTTGCAGCCAGAGATAGTCTCTGAACAGATGATTAATGGCTTAATCTGTAATAACTTTACATTTTATAGAACCCTGATAGGCGTCCACATCTGGTGAGCCAAGCTATTTAAGGCTGTGTTAATTCTGTTAATTGCTATACGTTTATTTGAATTGCTGGCACCTGCGGGCTTTGGGATAATGTGTTTGTTGTTGCTTTTTTTCTTCTTTAAAAAAAATACTCATTTTATTTTACCCTGTCTTGCTTGCTGTCTCTTGTTGCTATCTCTCATGCTATCACTTAATTTCTTCTCTGGATTTTCTTTTGGGTTGTCCTCTTTCTTCCTTACTCATTTTCCTCCCTCTTCCCCATCTCCGTTCCGTTTTTCTCTAATTCGTTTGTTTCCCAAGCTGTTGTTTTGGTAGCCTTCCTGATTTCTCAGGTGGTGATAATGTCTCTGTCCATAAGCAGGTGAATTTAGGTCATAGCTTTGGGCCTAAATATTCCTTTTTCCTGTCATGAAGACTACTGTGCAGCGTAGGGCTAGTAAAACCCAAGTGAGGCTTTTAGAATCAACATGAGACATGAGAAGAGGGTGGGCTTCAGCAGCACAAGCCCAGGGTTTGAGTCTTGCCTAGACTCATTCCTTGCTAGTTGCATGGCTTTTAGCAAGCCGCATGACTGTTCTGAGCCTCGGTTTCTTCATCTATAAAGACAGAGACTAATACTGATTTCATGTATTTTTATGTAGGGAGCAAATGGGATTAGACAAATGGAGGTGTTTTATAAAATACAAAACACTATACAAAGGTTAATGAAGTTGTTATTTATGTTATTAATTGAAACAAAATCAATTAGTTCAGGCCAAAGAACCACTTACTGCTCTTCACCATTTCTGCAATTAAAAACCTGCAGAAGTTAGGAGAGTCCAATGTAGTTTAATTAAAAAGGCCTGATACTGGGTTCAGTTCTAATGTTAATTAGAAAATTATACAACTTCTCTGGATATCCTTGTCTTGATCTGTAAAATGAGGATAGTAATCCCTGCTAATCCAAATGCACACTACTGTAGAGACCTTCTTGTAAATGTAGCATAGAACACACATTATTGCTTTGGGTAGCAAGGTAAACATCTTGCTGTACATCTTTATTCCATTAAGGAAGATGTACGGAAAAGCACTCTGTGGGTTTGGAGATAAGAGCGTCTTGACAGAATGGGAGAACCAACACAAAAGGTGACCAGAAGAAATAAGAGTTGAGCAAGGTGGAAAGAAGTGAAGATGCAAATCAGAGGAAATGGAGGAACGTGGCAGAAGAAGAAAACAAAAAGCAATTACGGCATCTCAGGAGCTAACTATTGGCTTGTCATGGGCTGAGTGATGTCCTCTGCAAATTCATATGTTGAAGTTCTAACCTTTAGTTTGTGACTGTTTTTGAAGATAGGGCTTTTTAAGAAGTAATTGAGATCAAATGAGGTCATATGGATAGGCCCTCAAACAATATGATTGGTGTCGTTATAAGAAGGAGTGATAAGGACATGGATATACAAAGGAAAGACCATGTGAAGACAGAGGGAGAAGATAGCCATCTACAAGCTAAGAACAGAGGCTTCAGAAGAAACCAACCTTGCTGAAACCTTGAACTTGGACTTCTAGCCTCCTGGAGTGTGAGAAAATAAGTTTCGGTAAAGTCAACCAGTCTGTGGTATTTTGTTATGGCAGCTCTAGTAAATTATAGAGCTTTTTTATGGGTTGACCATAAAAAAAAGATGGCCATTTTTGGCTGGGCATGGTAGTTCACGCCCATAATTTTAGCACTTTAGGAGGCTGAGGTGGGAGGATTGCTTGAGTCCAGGAGTTGGAGACCAGCCTGGTAAACTTAAGGAGACTGTGTGTGTACAAAAAACATAAAAAAATTTAGCTGGGCATGGTGGCACACGCCTGTGGTCCCAGGTATTTTGGAGGGAGGTGGGAGGATCACTTGGACCCGGGAGGTTGAGGCTGCAGTGAGCCAAGATGGTGCCACTGCACTCTAGTCTGGGCAACAGAGCGAGACTCTGTCTCAGAAAACAAAACTGCCATTTTTTGTGTGTGAGGACAAAAAAAAAAAAAAAAAAGTCAAATATTGGCAATGTCGGGTGATTCAATTTCAGAAAGAAATGTTTGTAAAGAGGATAAATTGAATCTTCTGGAAAAGAGATGACTTTCTGGATTACAAGGAATTGAAGTGGGCAGGAAAGAGAGAGAGAAAGAAAGAGAGAAATTGGCAATGTCAGTCGATTAGAGATTCCCATTCCCCTGGCTGTGGTTGTTTTCTTTATAGGTGGACTCCTAATGCAGTTTGGACCCATAACATACAGAGGCACAGAGGAAGAAGGAGCGAAACCCTCAGCTACTGGGGACAGGGATACATTTGAGGCTTATTTCAGTAGGAACCAGGTGTGAACATTTAGCCAAGCGTGGCTGTAAAAAAGTGGTATGGGCCTAAGGAAGAGTGAGGAGCACTGAGGTCTCAAAGATCTTTGGTGTTTCGGTGCTGTGACAGACAGAGAGTAGTTCTTCAGTTAGTGCCACAATAAAATTACTAAAGAAGGATTTGCTGCTTACAGTTGATGGGTTGTTGATGAAGAAGTAGATTTATATATATATATATATATATATTTGGCAACTGGGTATTCATTCTGCCTTCATCTGATACATGTTTCTTGATTTTTATTCCCCTCATTCTCAATCCAATGATTCAGTGGCACCTGCTCCACTCCCAGCTCCGTTAGTGAGCATGTGATCCCTAAATCAATTAGAGACTCCTAATTAGAGACTCCTATTCACCTGGTCATGGTTTCTTTCTTCATAGGTGAGCTCCTAAACCAATTTGGATCCATAACATACAGGCTCAGAAGTTTTGTCTATATGTTGTAGGGAAACAGCTCTCTCCTGCTTTGGGCTAGAACTTGGAGTGGTGTTAAACTAAGCTTCTGGCCACTATCTTGCCACCATAGTGACCAAAAAGGAAGCCAGGATAGAGAAAATCAGAGCCAAAAGATGGGAAGAAACTAGGCCTTAGTGACATTTTTGAAGGCCCTGGTTTAAACAGTTTTCAAATTAGACTACCCCTTAATTTCCACTTATGGTTGAATAATGTACCTCTGTTGCCTAAACCTGTTGTGGCTCTATTTTCTATCATTTGCAGCAGGAAGCCCTAGGTGATGTAGCAGAATTCCTCATGTTCCTATTTTACTCCTGTTTTTTGCTAACAAAAAGATAGGTCCTTGGACAGGGAAAGACAGACAAAAGTAGGAAATGTAATACTGGAGGATCTTAGAAATCAGATAATTTGCTCTGTATTAATTCAAATTTCCTGCCTCAGATGAATGCTATCCCAGGATACAGAGAGAATTTGTAAATACAATTTTTGAAACCTAGTTGGTGGTTTTTGAGGAACGCTAGTGAATAAAGAAGGTTCCTAAAGACTAGACAATTGAAAAATGTAGATAATGCAAACAATGAACTTATGAGTTGAACTGAAATCTGGATAACATTTTGGAGTGCAATATTAACAGAATGTATGAGCCCATAGCAGAGAAAAGAGTGATCAATATAACTGCCATCACTAATTAAGAGCACTAAGAAAAAGCTATATCATATCAACCAAATTCACATACTCATTCAGTAGTATTACCGATGATTCAGAAAAGTACTATGGACCTCATCTAGCTAAATAGCAGCAAAGTTTTTGAAGACACATTTTGTGATATTCTCATTAATAAGATGAGCAATAGGGTTTAGATGCAAGAGCTATCAAGCTATTAAAATACCAATGGGCCCTGATTAAGTGGATTTTTTTGGCCTATATGAAAGTTTTTGTAAGATGGCACAAAGCTCTGTCTTATATTAAGGACTTGAAGAGACATAAGAGAACATGGCTTGTTAACTTTGTGGATGGCAGGGACAGAAAATGGTAGAAATTGTGCATCTGTGTTATCTGAGGTTGAATTAATAGAGGTCTGACCTGTGCAACAAAGGAGGTAACAGTTCTGCAGTATAATTTATTGGTTAAGAAAGCAGGCTCTGGAGTTAGAGTTTCTGGCTGCAAAGCCTAACTCTACTCCCAGTAGCTGTATGATGCTGGATAACATACCTAACCTTCTGTTACTTATTAAATGGGAACAATAATTATACCTACTTGATAGGGCTGTTGTATTGAGATCATGCATGTAAAATAGCTGACATGTAGAAAATGTTCAGCAAATGTTATTTATTTTTTTTCTGAGACAGTTTTTTTTTTTTTTTCTGAGACAGTGTCTTGCTCTGTCGTCCAGGCTGGAGTGCAGTGGTGCAATCTCGGCTCACTGCACCCTCCACCAATTCTCATGCCTCAGTCTCCGAAGTAGCTGGGATTACAGGCATGTGCCACCACACCCAGCTAATTTTTGTATTTTTAGTAGAGAAGGGGTTTCACCATGTTGGCCAGGCTCATCTCAAACTCCTTCAAGCGATCCATCCACCTCGGCCTCCCAAAGTGCTGGGATTACAGGCATAAGCCACTGCGCCAGGCCCAGAATAAGCTTTTAACATGACAACTAATTGACAGATTAGAATATCTTTAGAGCTGAGCTGTAAAAAAAAAAATACCCAAAAAACTAAGGCATTCAAGATCCTAACAACGTTAAGAAGGCTTAACTAATAGAACCAGGGTCATTTAACCTGAGAAAGTGAAGATGCCTGTGCCCAAGGTTTGAGAGTCGTCTTCATACATGAAGGACTGTCCTATGGAAGTGGAAGAAAATGTGGCCCATATATCCTTAAGAAGAGAAACTAAGTCTAGTGAGTGGAAGCTGGGTACTTAACATAAGGAAGAACTTTCAGTAAGAGCTGTCCAAAACTGCCTTCAAAGTAATGAGTTCTCCAACACTCAAGGCATCCAAGTAGAGACTGGGCAACCATTTTGCTGAGGTTATCGAGGGGATTCTGGAATCATATGAGTGGTTTTGATTTTATAGATAGATCTATAGATAGATTGATTTTATATGATAGATCTATAGTTCTACGATGAATGACCTATCTGCAAAGAAAGAATAAGGCTAACTGATTAGCTCAGGTTCATCATGTGGAAGACTTTCCTCATTAATCTCCAAATCAGTTGGCTTTACATGTCCCACAAACATTTATTGGGTTGCCCTTGTGGTAAGAGTTGAGGTTCCCAGCCACTATCATCACCTATTACTCACTTACAAGAATTTATCTTTACTCAGTCCTTTACTTGATCATCTCGAAAACCGTTACAACCACAGCAATTATAATCATAGCAGCAACAATAAAGACTAGCAATTATTGAACACTTAATGTGAACACATGTGAAATGTGTGTCTACATGGTGCTATGTACTTCAGACTTATTCCCTACTTATTTCCTAATTTAGTTCTCACAAAAAAGCTTATGAGCTGGATTCTATGATCATTACTAACTTGAATTTAAAGAGAGCGAGTGTCTTTCCCACTTACATCATTCTAAGTGTTGGAGTTGAGATGTAAATACTGTCAACATCCTGATTTTGCTGCCCTTTCTACCAATTCAGTCATAAGAGTTAGTGACGAAGAAAAGGAAGCTCCTCTGGAAAAGGTTGGTGATTCTGTGTTTAAACTTACTGTAAGGAATTGTCTCTCACTACCGCTTAGAGTCTCTACTTCATAGGAAAGGTCATTTAATCAGGCAAAAATGTTCTGTTGGGAGACTAGATACAATTACCTATTTCTTTCACCTTGCCATTGATTGTTCTGAGAGGAAGGCAGTTTTTGCTTGATTTCCCACTTTGGGCAAATTGATATTGCTCAACCTGCTAACGGAGGAATGATTTTCATTATGGTACCTGAGAGGGAAGATGCTGCTCTTAGTATAAATGCCAAGCAGTGCAATAGTTTCGTCTTGAGATGGGCAGCACATTGTTTCTTTTTGTTCCAGCCTAATATTTTCCATGAAGTTGGAGCTATTTGCCTTTAATGCCTTCAAAACACCCAAATAAGGAGCAGCTACTATTTAGACTTATTATGAATTTTCAGTCTGATTTTGGGAATCACTTACTTAGCTTTGCATTTTTTTTTCTTTTTTGCTCGTCAAGATAAATTCAGTGGAACTCATTGCTTTCTAAAAATGTCACTTATTTACAGCAAATGTAATCTACCACAACATTCCTACTGAGACAAAATCTCTTGTGTCTTTGAAAGCCTCAAAGGAGATTAAAAAAACACTAGTCCTTGTACACATATACCTACAGGGATAAAGCAATCATTGAGCTAATTAATTAGCTTATGTTTTCAAAAATTGTTTTGCAAATGCAGAAACGACTATTCCATTAGTGTTGCGGTGCTTTTGTAACCTTGTGTTCTGTTCCTCATGTGGAGAGTGTGCCACAAATAGTTCCTGCATAGATTTCAAGAGAGATACAAGGACACATTTTTCACTTCTCAAATCAGTGAAGATGCAGCTTAGGGCAGCAACACTGCACACCAATTATCAACCAATAAAATTCTCCTCCTTCCCTCTCCCTTAGCTTTTCCCTCACCACCCAATATCAGCAGATGTTCTATCTCATACTTTGTAGGGAAAATAGAAATTGTTCAGGTAATGCTTGCTAAGCTTCTCTCTCTCCACCTTAAGACTTACCTTCAAAGATTCTCATTGCTACCTTCTTCCCCTCATCTTACAGAATGAACTTTCCCCTCCTCTCTTGCCTCTTTTGAGATTTAGCCCCTTTAAAGATTCCCTCTCTTAATCTTCGATCTCCCATTCTCCTCTGCTCCATCCCTTCAGCTAGAGACATACTCAAAATCACTTCTTTGATACTGTCTCCTGCTCAATTTACACCTAAGCTCATTCCCCACTTTCAATGAAAAAGTTCTTGGGAGAATGGTACATATTTCTGATGTCCCCTACTTCATGGTTACTCTTTAACCCTCTACATTTGCATGTCAGACTCTGAACTCTAGGATCCTTAGCACTTTAGTGGAATTGTTTTCTTGTTTTACCCTGCTTAAGTTAGAAGTACTTTATTATATGCTCCTATAGCTCTCAGTTCAAAACTTCAATGCATTGCAATTGTTATTATAGTCCTCATCACATTGCACTTTAACATGCACTGTGTTCATATGTTTCCTCAATAGACTGAGCTTCTAAGAGACAAGAACAAAGATTTATGTAGATTGCATATTCCCTCTGAAGTTAAACATAGGTCCTGACACATGAATAGATGGGAAATATTCTTCAATAAATTAATAAGTATTTGTGAACATCAGTGATAGAATTATTGTTCCAAAGTTCCAATTTCTGCTTATATTCATTTTGTCAACAGCATGCCACTCATTTACTTATTCATGAATGCAGTAAATATTCATGGAATGCCTACTCTGTCATAAAATCTGTTCAAAGAGTGGGAGTGTGTGGTGAATGACAGCATGTATAAAGTCTATGACCCTATGGAATTCACATTACGGTTGAAGGAGACTAAGAATAAATGCAAAACAGATAATTCAGATACTTTCAGATAATGATAAGTGGCATGAAGGAAATGAAAGAGAATAATGGGTGTATTAGTCCATTCTCACACTGCTAATAAAGATATACCTGAGACTGGGTAATTTATAAAGGAAACAGGTTTCATTGACTCACAATTCAGCATGGCTGAGGAGGCCTCAGGAAACTTACCATCGTGGTGGAAGGGGAAGCAAACATGTCCTTCTTAACATGGCAGCAGCAAGGAGAAGTGCCAAGCAAAGGAGGGAAAAAGCCCCTTATAAAACCATCAGATCTTGTGAGAACTTACTTAGTATCATGAGAACAGCATAAGGGTAACCACCGTCATGATTCAATTACCTCCCACCGGGTTCCTCTCATGACACGTGGGGATTATGGGAACTACAATTCAAGGTGAGACTTGGGTGGGGACACAGCCAAACTGAATCAATGAGATAGTGAGTTGGTCTCCAGGAGCCTGAGTGGTCAGGGCAGGACTCTTTGAGGATGCAATAATTGAGACCTGAGATGAAAGTAGCACTCAGTTACACACACAAAACCTTGGGGAGAGGCCATTCCAATCCAAGGAAGCTACTAGGACAAAAAGGACCTAAAGCAAGGAAAGCTTGGCACATTCAAGAAAAGTCCAGGAGGCGATGGTGGCCATGGCTCAGTGAGAGAGGTGGTGAGAGGAAAGAAATATCTAGGGCTGGATATGTTGCTTTTCTGAAAAGATCCAGGCTAGGCAATGTCAATTTATCAAGCTTATCTCTGCCTCAGAGTCTTCATTTTCCTTTTATCCCATATCTAGGTTGATTTTCTCTTTTTCTTTATCCTCGAAAGTGAGGTGTCCCTCTATCTTTGTAAGCTCACATGTTACTGTGCTCAGTCAGCATCTCCTTCTCTCCCTTTCAACTTCCGAATTACTCAGTTATTCTCATTCTTTCTTGCAGTATATATCTATATATTTTTTCTTTTAAAAATTGTGGTAAAAAAACACATATCCCAAAATCTACTCCCTTAACACAATTTTAAGGGCATGCTACAGTATTTTTGACTATATTCACACGGTTGTACACAGATCTCTAGAACTTTTCTCTTGCACCTTTGATATTTGCCTATTTGTTTCTTCTTCTCAGAGTTAAAAACAAGTGTTAGTCTATCCTTTCATAAAACCCCTCTCTTGACCTGCACTTTATTAAGCTCAGGAAGATAAAAAATGCCTCTTTCCAGGAGACGGTAGGGAAAAAGCCAAAACAAAATGGTTATAAGGTTTGAAAAAGGAAAGATAAGAAAAGCAGCATTGGATGACCCATAACTTCTAGAAGCCAGGGTGGGTGCAGTGTGCTAAATGTGAGAAGAATGGGGCGTGGTTATGTAGAATTCAATAGGTTTAGAACAGCTCATACTGTCATTACCTATTCACTCGAGTTAGAAACCTCAAAGTGAGATGTGATCTTTCTTTCTCATTCCCCTTCTTCCTTTTTGCCCTCATTTAATCAAACACAAAATTCCCTTGGCAATGCCCTGTATATTTCTGACTCATCTCTGTCCTCTGCTTCCTGGTCCTTTCACTACTGCCTCTCCCTCTGCCCCCATAGTACTTCGCCTATCATGGTGTCATGATGAGTCTTTCCACCTCTGTTCTCTCTGCTTTCTTTCCATGCTGCATTCTGCCCCGTTTTGCTCTTTGTGCCATTCTTTGGAAACATCCAGTGCCCAGCAAAGCATGTCTTCTTCAGCCTCCCACTCAAGGCCTTCTGCAGTTTGTCTTCAACTTGGGTGCCACCTCCTCATAGTTCCTCCCTAAATTTAACCAGAGTAGTCTTTTCCTATTACTCTAAATGTATGTTTTAAGTTCTTTCTTCTATAACTTGTTTATTTGGTTCTTCTAGCCAAGAATTTCTCCCTTTCTCTTTTCTGTCTGATGCTTACCCTTTCTTCTAGAACCTAGCTCATGGTCACCTGCTTGACTGATCACTGGGTTAACAGTGGTCTTTTCTCACTTCTGAATTCCAAGCACACTTAATATAATATAGGGTGTTTCAGCTCAGATTTAGGAGGTAGACTTCCAGGTTGAAATTTTTGTTTTTCTACTTACTACCTATGTGCCTTGGACAAGTTAGTTAGTGTCTCTGAAACTCAGTTTATTTATCTATAAAACTGGTATCTTAATAGCACTTACCTCAGAGATTTCTTATGAGGATCAAATGAGATGATGCAATAAAGCCTTTAGCTGAATCTGTTTCGTAGTGAGTACTCAAGAAATACTAGCTATTTTGTCATTCAGTTGGTCCTTACAATACCCCATAGCCATTTGTTAGCTTTTCTGGCTTGCATACAATCCCTTTGAAAACAGAGTTTTTGTAGTTACAGCAATGCTGTATATAATATCAAATTATTAAAGACAGTGGAAAAGAATTTATATCCCCCAAATGAATGTCTTGACTGACTGTAAGAAAGTTGCTGTTTCTCCTTATTACATTTTGACCACAATTGAAATGTGGTCAAAGGAGACCATCTGCCAAAGGAGAATAATTACTTCTTCACAGACATAGGAAAAAAAACTCACTCATGGATAAATATGTGTGCATATGTGAAATATGAATGCAGTGATTTCACATTTTTAAAATTCCTGGCAATCAAATGAGATTGTGATAGATTATCTTTTTTTTTTCTGAGATGAAGTTTTGCTCTTGTTGCCCAGGCTGGAGAGCAATGGTGTGATATCAGCTCACTGCAACCTCTGCCTCCCAGGTTCAGGTGATTCTCCTGCCTCTGCCTCCCGAGTAGCTGGGATTACAAGCGCCCGCCACCACGCCCAGCTAATTTTTTTGTATATTTGGTAGAGACGGGATTTCACCCTGTTGACCAGGCAGGTCTTGAACTTCTGACCTCAGGTGATGCACCCACCTCGGTCTCCCAAAGTGTTGGGATTACAGGCGTGAGCCACCGCGCCTGACCAAATTATCTTTCTTAGAGTAACTTTTCTTCATAGATATTAATGTAACAGTTCTTATGGATGATGTTTAAAATGCTTAAGGAAGCAAAACTTAGCTGTAAAATTGGGTATTGCTTGATGATCACCAGTGTCCCATTGAGGTCTAAAATGCTTATGAAGTTTAAATTGCTTTGCAGTGTGTTATGATCTTTCAATTATCTTTAAATGATTGATTTAATGAGCTTCTATTATTATATTTTAGGTATGGTGTTTGGAATGCAAAGTGAACTGGACAGTTTCTTTCCTGGAAGATCTTATAGTTCAGGGGTTGACAGCATTTTCTATAAAGGGCCAGGTTAGTGGCTTCTCAAGTGGAGACAAGTTTGACCCCAAGAAATATTTGACAATATCTGGAGACTCTTTTAGTTGTTGAAACTAGGGTGGAGGAGTGGTTGGAGGGGAGTAAAGGGATATTGAAGGGAAGATGCTGCTGGTGTGGGCAGAGGCCAAGATTGTTGGTGCACTGTAGGCCTACAATGCACAGGACAGCCCTTCGGTGACAAGGAATTATCCAGTCCTGGGTCTCAACAGTGCCGAAGCTGAGACTCTCTGGACCAGACAGTAAGTAGTTTTGGTTTAATGAGCCATATGGTCTCTATCACGACTATCAAACTGTCATTGAGCATGCGAGCAGTCATAGATACTGTATAAACAAATAAGTGTGTCTGTGTTCTAGTAAAACTTTATTTAGAAGAGCAGGAAGTGAATTGAATTGGCCCCAGAGGGTTAGTTTGCTGACTCTTGCTATAGTTAAATGGCAGGCAAAACTTGATAATTATAATGCAACATATTAAACTCTATCTATCTATCTGTCTGTCTGTCTGTCTGTCTGTCTGTCTATCTATCTACCTACCTACCTAGATCTATCTGTCTACCTAGATAGATAGATCAGTCAAAGTTTTCACAGGTTTACAATGAAGCCCCAGATAAGAGCACTTAGCCTGATCTGAGATATTAGAGATGGTCTCCTGAAAGAGAAAGAACATGAACAAAAGTTAAAAAAAAATTTTAAGAGTGAGGAGTTAGACAAAAACAGTAATTCCATAGAGAGAGAATAGCGTCAGTAAAGTCACAAAAATGCAAAATAGCATGATAAGCATAGAGAACTAATAATAAGCTAAAGGAAGTAGAAGTGGCGGTAATGGTAGTAGTAGTAGTAGTAGTAATAGTATTGTTCCCGGAAAGGGATCCTGATCCAGACCCCAATAGAGAGTTCTTGGACCAAGAAAAAATTCAGGGTGAGTCCATAAAGTGAAAGCAAATTTTTAAGAGAGTAAAGGAATGGGAATAAAAGAATGGCTACTCCGTAGGCAGAGCAGCCCTGACGGCTGCTGGTTGGCTATTTTATGGTTGTTTCTTGATGATATGCTAAACAAGAGGTATATATTTATTAAATACCTGCTAAAGACCAGGCTCTGTGCTACCGTGCTACACAGGTAGTTTGATTATTACAGGTCTGAGGCCTGTTTGTCCGGATGATTTTAGTTCACACCCATAGTGACACACGGGTCTCTTCTTGCTTCATTGCTTTTTCCCTTTTTCTGGGAAAGGGAAGAAAGGGAGGGCGATTCCTGGAACTGAGGATTCCTCTCCTTTTTAGACCATATAGGGTGTCTTTTAACATGCTAATAACTATAATTAGTGTATAATGAGCAGTGAGGATGACCAGAGGTCACTTTTGTCACCATCTTGGTTTTGGTGGGTTTTGGCTGGCGGGATTTTTTTAAATTTTATGTATTTATTTATTTTTTATTATACTGTAAGTTCTGGTTTACATGTGCAGAACGTACAGTTTTGTTACTTGGGTATACGCATATCCTGGTGGTTTGCTGCACCCATCAACCCGTCACCTACATTAGGTATTTCTCCTAATGTTATCCCTCCCCTAGCCCCCCACCCCCTGACAGGCCCCAGTGTGTGATGTTCCTCTCCCTGTGTCCATGTGTTCTCATTGTTCAACTCCCTCTTATGAGTGAGAACATGCGGTGTCTGGTTTTCTGATTTTGTGATAGTTTGGTGAGAATGATGGTTTCCAGCTTCAGCCATGTCCCTGCAAAGGACATGAACTCATCCTTTTTTATGGCCGCATAGTATTCCATGGTGTATATGTGCCATAATTTCTTAATCCAGTCTATCACTGATGGACATCTGCGTTGGTTCCAAGTCCTTGCTATTGTGAATAGTGCCGCAATAAACATACGTGTGCATGTGTCTTTATCGTAGAATGATTTATAGTCCTTTGGGTATATTGGCCGGCTTCTTTACCACATTCTGTTTTATCAGCAAGGTCTTTGTGACCTGTATCTTGTGCCAACCTCCTTTCTCATCCTGTGACTTAGAATGCCTAACCTGGGAATGCAGCCCAGTAGGTCTCAGCCTTGTTTTACCCAGCCCCTATTCAATATGGAGTTTCTGTAGTTCAAATGCCTCTGACAGCAATAGCAGTTAACTTTTATTGAGTGTTTACCATGTGTCAGGAACTCTAAGTATTTTACGTGTGCTAACACATTTCATAAACATAGAGCTCAGTGTTGCTGGAGTAATGTAAAATAAGGTTTAAGATGTGTGCATGCACCAGGGCTAGGGCCTTATTTTTAGGTGGATATAACTGGGTATGAGAAGACCAACAAGGAGGTAATGAGTAAGATTTATTAACTGATTGGATGTTCCAGGTAAGGGCAGGAAGAAGCCAGAAGTTTCTGGTTTGGCAACATTAATTGAATGTAGGTATGCTGGAGGAGAGGCAGGCCTAATGGGGAAAGTGCTGTTTTTGATGGGTTGAGTGGGAAGTACCTGTGTTAACTGCAGAACAAGGTCAAGTCAAATAGCTGGAGTTGTAACTGTAATTAGAATATAAGCAATAGAGTTAAATTAATTGAAATTGATGAGATCAGTTAAGAAACCACATCAAAAGGAAGAACAATGTATTTTAAAGAAGACTTCTAAGAGTAACTAATATTTAAAAGAAGGCTTAAAAGGGAAAATTAGTGAGGTAGGAGAAGAACTAGAGAAAACGTTGTCATCGAAGCTAAGAAAGTAGGAAGTTTCCAGGTATATGGCATAGTCAGCAGAGGTCAGTGCCAAAGAGAGGACCAATACGTTGAGAACTGAAAGTGCCCTCATAGCTGAGAATTTAGACATTGTAGGTAATCATTTTGTTTTGCTTTTGAATGACAGTGATAATCATTTTCAAATTCAGAGAGAAAAAAAGGCAGTGGAAGTGGAAAAGCTAAAGATATAAGAAAACTAAATGTTGAAACAATATCCCAGTGAATAATTTCAAACTTTTAAAAATGTATTTATTAAATAAAGTACATATAAGAAATGTTGCTATTGGGTACTATGCTCAGTATCTGGGTGATGGGATCAATTGTACCCCAAACATCAGCATCACACAATATATCAACCTGCACATGGACCCTCTGAAACTAAAAGTTAAAAGTATAAAAATAAGTAAATAAAGTCAAACATGTGAAAAAAAGAAATATTTCATAGGCTTTTTTTCAGTTGCTCTAAATTTTTAAAAATACGTTTATGCATTTTCCTATAATTTGTGTTTTGCATTTATATTCTCCTTTTCTCTAATTGATTAGCTCTATCATTAGATTTAACTGATACTTAGAGTTTGATTGGCTCACCATCTATTTATCATAATACATTGAAAAGTCACAGTTGAAAACTATAAAACCTCAAGGATGTATTTATGTGTTTAGCAAATGGAACACAAACCTCATAGATTTGTAACTTTGAGACACCAAAGAATATTGGGAGACACTTATCAATTCAGTTGAGTTCAATTCAGTTTAAGGCATTTGTTGAATGCTATGCATTTTTAACAGTGATATGACAGGATTTTTCTTTCCTTTCAAAGCAGCTTGCCATCTTATCTGTCTGTATGTTTATTGCATAAAGAATTTACAGCAGATAAAGATGTAGTTGGTGCAAAAAATATACAGAACTTGAAAGATCTAATCATAAAGAAATATAACAAAATGCTATATCATATAGCAGAGTCAGTGATACAAAGCAATTTGTACTAAAGACTTTGGGAGGGAGAGACCAACATGAACTAGAATATTGTGAGCATCTCCATCTAATGTTTCTGCCTAAATGCTGTTCTTCTCTAGACAGAACTCAACCAAATTACTCTTAACAGAAGAACAAATGCAAGTGATGAAGAACCAAGGGACAAGCAAAGGCATCAATATATTGTTTGCTATTTGAGGACCAACTGTATTTATTTATCTTTGTATCTCCAGGGCCAGGCACTATGGCTACCATGTATTAAGTACATGCAGTCAGTGCTGAATTGATTACTTCTGGTCATTAGATTAGCACAGCTGAGCTGAGGTAGCTTGGACCATGTGCTATGTGGATGCTTCCCTATTAATGATGCTAATGACAAAGAGAATCAGGTCCAAGAGACAGTGAGTTGGGAGTACGCCACCTATAGAGGACTAGGAGAGAAAATATTTTTGAAAGAGAAGACTAAATGCTAGATGCACTATTAATGGGAATTGGTCACGCCCACAGGACTCTTCCCTCTAGCATAACATACCGATATATAAAAACATGCTTGCTGTGTGACCGAATGAGCCAATCCTGGCTTAACATAGACAAACAAAAAAGAAGTTGCCAATGCCTTCTTCAGTTCAGTATCTCATGAAAGAAATGCAAGGTGAAGAGAAAGCTTAAATGAAAAAAATAAAGTGAAATCTGTAAGCCTGGTTCTCATTTCTAAGGGTTTATTATACTGGAGATTTCATGAAAATAGTATTGAGAATGACTACTCTGTGATTTTTGCTAGCTTTTAGTCCCTATAGGCAGAAAAGCATTTCTAAAAGAGATTTGAAAATTGTGGACTCTGATAACACTGCTAGTTGTCATGTTTTTCTCTAATGAACAGCTTATCAGTAAATGTGCTCAGTGGTTAATTACCACATTAGAGTTTATTGGCATCAAATGTAGTAGAATGCCGATTATCCTTATGCAAATTTGGATTTACTGCAGGTTAAATCCTGTGACCTGAAATCTAAGTCACCTGTCATAAATTAATAGGTCCAGGTACTAGGCCTGCTGGGATTGGCAGTGACAAAAGACCCCATGAGTTGGGGGAATGAATCAAACCTGCATGGGCAAGATTCATTCTTTGGAATGTCTCACAAAGCCTGGTGCAGCCAATTGTGCTGCAGAGGCTGTGTGGTGTTTTTGTGTTGTTTTGATTTTGTTTCATTTTACAGGGCAGCCAGGCAGTCCAAGCAATGGTTCAAGCCACTATTGATGCCAGCGGTGTCATCCATGAGGTGGCACTGGCACTTGGAGGTTATAGGAGTCAGGTGGAGCTATATATGGTTCCAAAACACATGTCAAGTTTGGGGTGTGGGTACGAAAATAAAGACAGATTCCCAGATGTCTCCGTCAGTTCAGGCTGCCCTAACAGAATACCATAGACTGGGTGGCTTAAACAACAAACATTTATTTCTCATGGTTCTGGAGGCTGGAAAGCCGAAGATCAAGGCCTGCTTCTTGGTCTGCAGATGGCCTTCTTTTTGTATCCTCACATGGTGGAAAGCAGAGATCATCTCTCTTGTTTCTCTTCTCCTAAGGGCGCTAATCCCACTCATGAGGGCTCCTACTCATGATCTAATTAGAACCAAAGGTCCCACCTCCAAATACCATCATGTTGGAGATCAGGGCTTCCGTATATGAATTTGGGGAAAATGTGAACATTCAGTCCATGGCACCTTCCGTAGGAAGTCTTGTCATGGCCCAATCTAAGCAAACTAAAGTTCACAGTTATCTCAGGTTTTTTGAGGGGAGTGGAACGTAAGACAGCATATCCAAGACCATCATCCAAAAACCTATGCCTATAGTGGGCCCATGTGACAGAGCAGATATGGCTGCCACCCAGTGGCCACATGGCAGCCCATAGCTCATGAGTGCTCTCTGGGTTTGCAGACCGAACTGCCTATCAGAAACTGGGACAGAAGCAGCTATTATGCCTCCTGTCCCTGTCAGGACTGGGTCAGGAATGAGGGCATTAGGGCTTTTGTGTGTCTCTCAGATTAAACTCTGCTCACTTGAGGTTAAAACAAGGCAGAAGCTGGCCTGAGATAATCAAAGCCTCTTTCAAATCTATTTGCTTATAAAGGCAAGGTGTTTTTGGTGTCTACAAACTTCTAACACATTTGTAGGCACTGATTATTCTGCAAATAATGGGGGACCTTTCTGAAGCCCTGGATCCCTGGCCAATGCACCCTACTCCAAGCACATTGAAATTTTTAACAAAATTTTTAATAAAATTGAGAGATCCTTGGCATCTCAAGAACAGGAAAATCATTACTTCTTCAAATGAATCATTGGTGCTCATAAGGGAAAAGTCTTTCATGCCTAGGGCATGTATCCAGATAATTTTGGTGGGGAATAACATTTCTTACCACATTGTGAGTGTTTATGTGGCTGGGGCAAAAGAAGTTGTGGTTTCGGTGCTGATCCATTAGCAGTGAGTGTGGTAGGTGAAAGTTCCTTAATTGTTCCCCAGAGTAAAAACATCCCAGTATTTATAGACTATTAGGGGAGAGGGGGTTGGAGAGGCAGGTGACTTTTCAGCCCTACACTGATGACTTTTATGTCTTCCAGGTCACATTAAAATGTTTTGCTTGAATTAGAATAAAAGTAGTCCTTTTTGTCCACTCTAAATTCAGTGTCTTGGTTGAAAGTATCCACAGAAAACATTCCTCAGTCTTCATAATTTCCCATTTACAATAGAGAAGCAAGGCTCTCTGTACTTAAGAATAGTACAAGCTATTTTAGATGTCAGATGTAGTCTAAGAATGATTGAGTCAACAAAGGAGCATGAAGACAGTGATGAGTTCTCCACACAGCAGGTGCTCAGTGTAGGGTGATAAAGAACTAGAATGGCAGCTAAGTAGGTGGCACCAGACTCTGAAGAAGCACTTAGTCATTGTCTAGAATGTGCCAGACCAAGTGCAGTTTTAAAGCTCTCTCTGGTCTCCTTGTCCTGTGAACAGACATAAGGCCTAAATAAGAGGCAGAATTGGGAGGCTTTTTCTTTGCACCTCACCTTCCTTACCACCTGGCCTTCTAGGCATTGGAGACAGAAGAGAATCTCCCACATGCAAATCAGCCCCCAGGTCATCTTATAGCAACAAAAGCCTGGGCAAGAATTAATAAAGAAATGAGTGGAATCTAAAAGTCTCTAAACATAAAGAAATACCTGTAAGATGTCTCTTCTGAGAGCCCATTATATAGAAAGGAGTCAAAGGAAGAAGAGAAGCCAAGTGCATGGATCCAGGAGAGTAACTGGTCCAGTGCATTTCTGTTTACCATACCTTTATTCCTCTAAATTTTTTCAGCAGTTCTGGAGTAGCTCCATTAGATCCTTGATGAGTTAATTTTGCCCTAGATCAATTTCAAAGCTTAAGGATACAGTGAGAAGAGAAGGTTTGAAATACCTTAGGGAAATTACAGGATCAAATAAATTTTATTATTATGCCAGCTCAGACAGATTGGTAGTGTTGGGAAAGATTCTAGTGTCACAGGAAACAACTATCCTGAAGTTTCTATGGCGTCTTCTGGGCCATATTTTAAAATTTGACTATTCAGGCATACCTCATTTTATTGCTCTTTACCTTCTTGCACTTTTGAGTTATTGAATTTTCTTTTTTCAAATGGAAGTTTTGCCGCCACCTTGCATCAAGCATTTTCCAACAGCGTGTGCTGACTTCATGTCTCTGTGTTGCATTTTGGTAATTCTTGAAACTTATTATTATATTTGTCAATGGTAATCTATGATTAGTTATCTTCGATGTTACTATTGTAATTGTTTTGGGGTGCCATCACCCATGCCCATGTAGAATGTTCATAGATAAATGTTGCATGGGTTCTGACTGTTCCACCAACCAGCTGTTCCTCCAGCCTTCTCCCTCCCTTCAGGTTTCCCTATTCTCTTTGATACAATAATATTGACATTAGGCCAATTAATAGCCCTACTGTGGCCTCCAAGTGCTCAAGTAGAAAGAAAGAGTTGCACATTTCTCGCTTTAAATCAAAAGCTAAAAATTAATAAGTTTAGTGAGAAAGGCATATCTAAAGTTAAGATAGGCTGAAAGCTAGGCCTTTTAGGCCTAGCTGTAAAGGCCTAAAAGTTAGCCAAGCTGTAAAGGCAAAAGAAAAGTTCTTGAAGGAAATTAAAAGTGGGCACATGAATGATAAGAAAGTAAAACAGATATTGCTGATATGCAGAAAGTTTTACTGCTCTAGGTGGAAGATCAAACCAGCCACACATTTCCTTAATCCAGAGCCTAATCCAGAGCAATGCCCTAATGCTTGAGTTTTATGAAGGCTGAGAGAGGTGAGGAAGCTGCAGAAGAAAGGTTTGAAATTAGTAAAGGTTAGTTCAAAAAAGCCATCTCCATAACATAATAGTGCAAATTGAAGCAGCAAGTGCTGATATAGAACCTGCAGCAAGTTATCCAGAAGATCTAGGTAAGATCATTGATGAAGATGGCTACACTAACCAACATATTTTCAATGTAGATAAAAAGCCTTCTATTGGATAAGAAACCATCTAGGACTTTCATAGCTGGAGAGGGAAAGTCAGTGCCTGGCTTTAGAGGACAGGCTAAACTCTCTTTTTTGAATCTAATATAGCTGGTGACTTTAAGTTGAAACCAATGCTCATTTGCCATTCTGAAAATCCTAGGGCCCTAAGAATTATGCTGAATCTACTCTGCCTGTACTCTGTAAGTTGAACAACAAAGTCTGGATGAGAGCCCATCTGTTTACAGCATGGTTTACTGAATATTTCAAGCCAATTTTTGAGACCTACTACTCAGAAAACAAAGTATTTTATGTAAAAATATTACTGTTCATCGACAATGCACTTAGTTACCAAAGAGCTTTGATAAAAATGTTCACTAAGATTAATATTTTTATGCCTGCTAACACAACATCATTCTGCAGCTCAAGGAGTAATTTAGACTTTTAAGCCTTATTATTTAAGAAATACAGTTTGTAAGGCTATAGCTTCCATAGATAGTGATTTCTCTGATGGATCACAAAGCCTTTTAGAAAGGATTCACCATTCTAGATGCCATTATGAACATTTGTGATTAATGAGGAAAGGTCAAAATATCAACATTAACAGGAATTTGGAAGAAGTTGATTCCAGCTCTCATGGATGACTTTGAGGTTTGGAAGAAGTTGATCACAACCCTCATGGATGACTTTGAGGAGTTCAAGACTTCAGTGGAGGAAGTAACTGCAGATGTGGTGAAAATAGGAAAAAAAAAAACCCTGGAAGGAGAGCTTAGGATATGACTAAATTGATGCAATCTCATGATAAAACTTGTATGGATGAGGAGTTGCTTCTTATGGATTTGCAATAAAAGAGCAGTTTCTTGAGATGGAATCCACTCTTGGTAAAGATGCTGTGGACAATGTTGAAACGACAACAAAGGACTTAGAATATTACATAACTTAATTGGTAAAGGAATGATAAGGTTTGAGAAGATTGACTCCAATTTTGTAAGAAGTTCAGCTGAAGGTAAAATGCTGTCAAACAGCATTACATGCTACAAAGAAATCTTTTGTGAAAGGAAGAGTCAATCAATGTGGCAAACTTCGTTGTTGTTTTATTTTAGGAAATTGCACAGCCACCCCAACATTCAGTAACCACTAGCCTGATCAGTGGTTATCAAAACTGAGGCAGACCCTACACCAGCAAAAAGATTACATCTCACTGAAGGCTGTCAACTTAGATGACTGTTAGCATTTTTTTTAACAATAAAGTGATTTTAATTAAGGTTTGTACATTGTGTTTTTAGACATAATGCTATTACACACTTAATAGGCTACAGTATAGTGTAAACATAATTTTTGTATGCACCAGGAAATGAAAAAACATTTGTGTAACTCACTTTATTGTGATAGTCTCTTTATTGCAGTGGTCTGTCACTGAACCCACAATATTAATATTTTTGAGATATATCTGTATGTGTTTATGTCCTTAAGCAATATATATTACACTTTGAGTGTTCAAAATTTATATAAATGGTATCATACTGTGCATATCTGTACAGCTTACTTTTTAAACATAATGTTTTGTCTATGTTGATAAGATTTATCTATGTTGATTTCATTCATTCATATTAACTGTTACTTCATGCTCCATACTTTTTTTTTTTTTTGTAGAGACAGGGTTTCACTGTGTTGCCCAGGCTAGTCTTGAACTCCCGGGCTCAAGCAATTGACTCAGCTTCCCTAAGTGATTGGAGCTAAAATTATCTCCCACCACACCCAGCTACTCCAGTATATTTTCATCCACAGTTGTGCCAGAGTTTATCTAGTACATATACCTAGAAGTGCAGTTTCCTGCTAGGTCATAAGCTGGATGTTTATAACTTTACTAGGTATTGCCAAATTGCTTTCCAAAGTGATGTACAAATTCACACTCCCACCAGCAGAATATAAATATTCCAGTTTCCTTGCATCCTTGACAGTTTTTGGTATTGCCAATAAATCAAATAATGTAGTATAAACCAACTCAATATAGTGTAAGCCAGATTTACCCTGTAAAACATATGCCTAAAGTTCCCATTTTAAGGTCCTTGTTTCTACTGAGAATCCAGAGGCCTCAAAGGTGCATATATTGCACATTACCTCCCTCATTTCCTATTCTACTAAGCCCCAGTGAGTGGCCTTCCCTGCAGGTGTCAGCTTGGAGCTGGTCTCTTCTTTATTAGCACCAAGTTGCTGTCTTTTAAATTTAGAACTGTTGTAGTTCTTCTAGTCCTGCAGAATTTCATTACTCTGGCCTCAATTGCTCACATGTACCATCTTTCAAAAATGTCAGGATAGATGAGAAGATCACAGGGCCATACTCTCCTTCAGACGATAAAGCAAAACACAACCAAACCCTCAAAGCAGATATGATTACTGCAGCAACAGGAAATAAAGGCACAAAAATTGTTATAAATGATTGTTTTCATAGAAAAAAAGTATTACCAAAATACATTCATTTTTTACCCACTGTAGGCTTCCCTCTTTGGAGGCATTGATTAGTAGATACGAAATCCTTATCTTCTCTCTAGAGTTTGAAATGTATAATTAACAATGGAGTCTGCCAGATCAACAATTCTCATCACAGAATGTCCTGTGTTTTAGTCTTTGTGGACCATATGGTTGATCTACCTTATCATTGTTATTAGTGTGGACCCTTTTTTGTGTTAGTCTTTTTCTTACATTTTCTACAATAGTTAAACAAAATATTTATTTTTGTTGTTATATGATTTTAAAAACCTTATATTATTCAGCTTAGCCTGAAAGCCCAACTGTGCAACAGAAAATGGCTCTTCTCTTAATTAATTAATTTCAATTTGATGAATTAACTTTAATAACATGCTAATGTATAGAAAGCTACTAAATTTTTCAGAATAAGTGTATTGAAATTTCTCTTCCAAGAGTGATGCCAGCTTTGCTTCCTTTATTTGTGAGTGGGAAGTGAGGTTTAATGCTACAATGGCCTTCTAGAAACCCTGAAGCAGTAGTTTGACAAGGATGGAAACGTTGAGATCATTGAATTATTGAGCTTGAATAAACTTCTGAGCATTCATTGATTAATTTATCAAATAACCATGTATTAAACACTTCCATATGTCAGGCACTGTGCTAAGTGTTGGAGATAAAATGATGATCAGGGAGAAGATATCCTTCTCCTGGTTCAAATCCGTTGTCTAGTTTTCATCAGCTTTTGAGTCAATATAATGTTTAAGGACATGAGATTCTACAGCCAAATAGAAGGATTTCTATTGCTCTTTGGTTTTGACATTTAACTTGAAAAGTAACACTAATAATGACTAATCTATAATCTAAGATTATATAAGTATATGTATAATTACATATAATTACATATTTTATATTGTGTATATATGCATATACATGGATGGAACTGGAGGCCATTATCCTTACCAAACCAACACAGGAACAGAAAACCAAATACTGCATATTCTTATTTATAAGTGGGAGCTAAATGATGAGAACACATGGACACATAGAAGGAAACACACACTGGGGCCTGTAGGAAGACAGAGGGTGGGAAGAGGGAGAGGATCATCAAAAATAACTAATGAGTGCTAGGCTTAATACTTGGTGATGAAATAATCTGTACAACAAATCCCCATGACACAAGTTTACCTACGTAACAAACCTGCACTTGTACCCCTGAAGTTAAAAGTTAAATAAAGAAAAGAAGCACCTTTTCTATTTATTACTGAAAAAATACATATTGTAAACCTTAAAAAATAAGAGACGACAGGTTCTTGAGCAGAAACTGTGATTCAGAATTTTGGATTGGCTGCACTTGAAATACTAACATAAAGACTGGTTTTGCCAGTGGAATCTGAGTTTGGAATTTGACTCCTTTTTTTCCTGCTACTCCCTTCCCCAGCTTGTACATGAATGCAGTCTTCTAGCTCATTTAAATTAGTTCTTTAACTTATAGCAACTGAAAGTAGAGTGGTTTGATTTTATCAACTGGAACAAACAACTCAACAGTTTTTGTAGTTTTTGTCTGTTGCTGTCCCTCTCCTTTTCAGATGTCATTAAGTGACTTTCCTGGGCTTAAGAGTCTACCCTGAGGACCTCAATACTCTGGTTTCTGCCCAAGTTGTCTGGTCTACCTCCTGAACTAGCATGTCTACAATCTGAGGAAATGCACCCTAAATTGATACCCTGATATTTTCAGTGGGCTATGGATTGGCAGGAAGAGACCATAAACACACACTTTATTTAATTTCTGAGTTAATTATCCAGGGATAAAAGTATTATCAGAAACATGGTGGCTACACAGGAAAGCAACAGATGTAGTATTCACTAAAACAGCTTCATTTGGTACCCAGAGTCCTTCATAGCAGCAAGCAGCTGATAGAGACACTCCATTTGGGGGTTGAGTCCTTCCAAATCTTTCTGGAAAGCTCAATTCTTTCTATGACACAGTCTTATGTGCTTGGGGCTTATGTCACATTCTAAAATAATTGACATTGACAATCGATGCATGCCCATTTAAAGGATTGTTTTTGAACACTGGAATCTGTCAGTTCTTAATGCAAATGTAGCATAGCAAGGCCACATCTTCTTCTGGAGCGGGAGTTAGAATCCACGTGCAGATGTTCTGGACAAATGGCTTTGCTTCCAGATTTGCAAAATGTTCTTGAAAACCCTTATCCCTATAGGCACAGATACCATAAGAGAAAAAATAGAAATAAGTAGGAATCGGGATTGGGATTTGCTTGAATCTTTACAGCAAGACCCTCTCCATATTTTCAGTTTTCAAAATCAGTGAAATACTTCAGATCAGTGGTTTGTAAATTGCTCTGTGGAGACCTCAGATTCTTTGATAATGCCAGAGGAGGAAACATAAGTATTTTTCGTTTGTTAGGACCTCAATCATTCCTGGATAATGAATTTTCAGAGGGGAATGGACTTGGTTTATTTTATAGACTGTTTGAGCCTAAAGGAAAATGACTACACCTCCCAAAGCAGATGACTAATTTTCAGAAATTGTTTTTTGGAAAAGTGGGTCTCCTTTTTAATTTCCCATTCGCACCCCATGTATGTTCTCTTATCAGTGAAGGAGATGAGAAGCCACTCTGGGGAAAAGACACGTAGAAGATCAAGAAAGCTCTTTTCCTCATTGCGTGATTGATACTCGGTTTTGTTTTTTTTGTTGTTGTTGCTGTTGTTTTATGGGAGTCTTGCTCTGTTGTCAGGCTGGAGTCCAGTGGCACAACCTCGGCCCACTGCAACCTCTGCCTCCCGGGTTCAAGCAATTCTCCTGCCTCAGCCTCTCCAGTAGCAGCGATTACAGGCGAGCGCCACCATGCCCGGCTAATTTTTGTATTTTTAGTAGAGATGCGGTTTCACCATGTTGGCCAGGATGATCTCGATCTCTTGACCTTGTGATCCACCTGCCTCGGCCTCCCAAAGTGCTGGGATTACAGGCGTGAGCCACCACACCTGGCCGATTGATACTTTTTTGTTGGTTCATTCCAGTGCTGAAAATTGGGCTGGATTTGCCAAAACAAATCTGAAACTGGCTTTCTATGCCTGTGGATTCTGTTCCTATTGTCTGTCCATTCACTGTTCTGTTTAGTTCATGGATTAAGACTGTCAGCATCACGAAGTATCAGCAGTAGGATGTTTGGTGCAGGGAAGATGTGAGCACCTGCATATCTTCCCTGCACCAAACATCTGATACTTTTTTTTTTTGAGGAAATAAAAGCCCCAAGGAACCAAGTACGACACTTTGACAGTCATTGGGCTTTTTGAGCCTGGGCCTTGTTAAGGCAGCTGCCTGTACCGTTGTGGAATCACTTCAGCTACTGTCTAGTCCTCAGTGCTACAGCCTCAGGGCATTGATTTTAGCTAATAATAGTGGTCAACATTAATTGAGCATTTACTATATGCTAAACAGTGTCCTAAGTGCTTACTTGTAGGAACTAATTCAGTCCTCGCAGTAACTCTAGGAGACAGATACTACACTGTCATTGTGGATGGGATGGGGTTTGGGTGGGGAATTGGGGTGGGGCTTGTTGGGGAAAGAATCTAAAGCACAAAGATAGCTTTCCCAAGGCCATGCTGCTGATTTGGGTTTGGAACTGGGATTAAAATCCACATTCTCATGGGTTCCAAGCCCATGGTTATAGTCAGTCATTATGTTCCACTTCCTCACTAGCTCTTCATCAAGTATTATCAGAAAGCAAGGAATTATTTTTCAGACTAGCAGAAATTTACTAGTGACTTAGTAATATGTCAGAATGTCATGGTAGAAAATCATTCCAGAGCTTTGCTGTTTAGTACAGTAGCCACAATCCACATCTGGCTGCTGAGCACTTGAAATGTGCCTGGTCTGAATTGAGGTGTGTTTTACGTTTAAAATCACACTGTATATTGAAGACTTAATACCAAAAAAAGTGAAAGATCTTAGAAAAAGTTTCTTATGTTGATTATATGTTGAAATGATAAAATTTTGGATATATTAGGTTAAGTAAAATGTATTATTAAAACTAACATCACTGGCTTCTTTTTACTTTTAAAAAATGTAGCCACTAGAAAATTTATAATTACATATGCCACTTATTTTATATTGCTATTGGACATTATTCTAGAGAATTAAAAATGTGCAAATTATCCACAGCCATTTCCTCATACCTGTGACACTCAGTCATTCATCCGAATTAGCTTGTGGTCAGTTTGAGGCAGTTTGTCTAACGTTTGAGTTACGAGATCAGAGCAAGAGGTGCTGGTCCATTTTAGACGTGCTTTATTTAGTTTGTAGAAAAACACACTGAACCATCCTATTCCGCTACAGAGTGCCCCAGCTTCACAAAGCAGAATATGGAAGGGTAGACTAGTGAAAATAAGTAAATACAGATAAATAGGTTATGACATGTAGTTGAGATTCAGATAAGTGGAGCAAGATTCCGCAGATTGCACTGTATTAGTGACAGTGAGTGTATTCTAAGAGAGGAGAGGATCTTTATGTGTGGTAAAAGTAGCTGGGGACCAAGTTGTTGAGAATTTTGTATGTCAGGAAAAGGAATGCATTTGGAGTGACAAACTTTTGTCACTTTCCAAAGACTCCTTTTAGAATTCTTTATTGATCAATAGAATATTTTGTCGTGACTTACTTCATAATTTATGATATGTTAAAATTTCCAAATTTTCTGTTTATTTTATGTTAGTTACATCTTAGATTGATGATTCCCTGGTGGAATTTGGAAAGACATCTTAATCACACCAGCAGTATTTATGTAAACCATTTTTAAGGATGGTTTACTTCTTAGTTAACTCTAAAGGAAGGATAATGTCATCTATTGAATAAAGATTCTCACTTTTCTACTTGGAGATCATATTGTCTTCTTAAATCTTTGTCCCTTAGGCTTTGATAATGGACTACATCTCATCTGGGGGCCTCTCTTCTCTGACTGTATTAACCATACTTATCTTGGAGTTGAAAGACCTTGGAAGGAAGCCAGGATCTAACAGTCAGGGTCTATGGATCTTTGGCAAGTATTACAGGCAGGCCCTGGATGTGTGGAGTAACAGAGGCCTCTAACGAGGGGGCACAATAGGGTTGGCTTATGTGGACATTACATTCTGAAATTGGCACATGAGGTTAAAAAATGCTTATAATCAAATTTGGCCTGGATAAGGCTTTTAAACTACTCCTAAATTAGACGCTTGAAAGCTCCAAAGCCAGGATTTAGCATTGTTGATTTTGCTTTGTATTTCTTCTGAGACACCCCTTTCCAGGAGACACGGAAGTCAGGTCTACTTGGAATGAGGAAAAGGGTTATGTGGTAAATAGAAAATTCTCAGTCCAGGCACAATGGCTCACACCTGTAATCCCAGCATTTTGGGAGGCTGAGGCAGGAGGGTCACTCAAGGTCAGGAGTTCAAGACCAGCTGGGCAACATAGTGAGTCCCCATTTCTACAAAATTAGCTGGGCATGGTGGAATACACCTGTAGTCCCAGCTACTTAGGAGGCTGAGGCAGGAGGGTCCATTGAGCCCACAAGTTCGAGGCTGCAGTGACCCATGATTGTATCACTATACTTCAGTTTGGGAGACAGAGCAAGACCTTGTCTCAAAAACAACAACAAAATATCCTACTCCCTCTCATTTTTTCCCCAAGAGTATTGAAAGCTGAATTTGTGTAAGTTATACATAAATATCATGCAACTTCATTGTACTGCTTATTTTCCTAATAAGTTAATTGACTTGTATTATGCTTTACATATTTTGGGCTTGTTACTTGTTTGTGCCTAATGTATGAAAGGCAGCTAGAACCTATCTTTCTAAACTGAAGAGCTCTAAATCTGGTTAGGGAAATAGACAAGTAAATCAAGGGTTATAATGCAAATTAAGAAGTACTTTAACAAGGCCTTTCCTCAGTGCTTTAGGACCACAGAGGAGGAGCCATTAAAGTGATCTGGGCATGAGTAAAGGCTGTATGTGACATCCTAGCCTAAGCTACCATCATTTCTCATTGCATTGGTGCAACAACTTTCTAAATGCTTTCTCTGTTTCTGTTTTTGCCCCTGGATCTCCCTCTCTCCCAAGTCTATAGCTCCCTAGCAGCTGCAGTATTCCTCTTAAAAATGTAAGAGGCACATATGCTCCTATCTACTCAAAACCCTCCAGTGGCTTTCCATCTTGCTCAGAATCAGAGCTCAAGTTCTAAAAGGCCTATAAGACCTTGTACAATCTGGCCCTTGCTGCCTCTCTATCCTCATCTCCAATGTGCACCTCCTCATTCACCCTGATGCAGCCACACCAATCTCCTTGATGTTCTTTGAACATGCTGTTCACATGACTGCTCAAGACTTTTGTCCTTACTGTAGTCTGTCTGCTTGGAATTGTCATTACTCAAATGTCTGTATGGCTTGTTCTCTCATGTTTCCAAAGCTCTGAAGAAATGTCACTTTTTTTTTTTTTTTTTTTTGAGATGGAGCTTCACTCTTGTTGCCCAGGATGGAGTGCAATGGCATGATCTCAGCCCACCACAACCTCCACCTCCTGGGTTCAAGCGATTCTCCTGCCTTAGCCTCTTGAGTAGCTGGGATTACAGGCATGCACCACCATGTCAGCTAATGTTTTTCTTTCTTTTTTTTTTTTTTTTGTATTTAGTAAAGCCTGGGTTTCACAGTGTTAGGCTGATCTCGAACTCCTGACCTCAGGTGATCCACCCACCTCGGCCTCCCAAAGTGCTGGGATTACAGGCGTGTGCCACCGCACCCGGCCATGTCACAGTTTTATAGGCCTTTCCTGACTACCCTGTACAAATAAAAACAAGAATAAGCCTCCACCCTATCCTAGCACTCCTTCTTCCGTTTAGCTTGTCCATCACCATCTAACATGCCGTAAATTCACTTCTTTATTTGCCCCATCCCCTTAGATTTTAAAGTTCATGAAAGTAAAACTGCATCTGTGTCATCTACTTTGGAACAGTTCCTGGCACTTAGTATTTTAATTCAATACATGTTTGTTGAATGAATAACTTACTTTTCTCTCTGGCATGGCTTCCACATTTATTTGCCTAATGAGTGGATCGATAAATGAATGATGACTATATTCTCTTGGCACTAGCAGAATCTGTTATTTCCCAATGTACCATTTCTCTGAAATAACTTTACAGTTCTTTATTGGAACAAAAGACTTTATCAGGACTTGTCAGGAGCTCTTGGATTCTGCCAAGACAGCATCTCACTCACAGATGGAAATTGCCATTAATTGTCTGCTTTGATGGTGGAGCACAACATTGGAAAAGAAGACGCCTCCTGGAAAGCAGGTTTTGCCATTGGTGAGAGAGAATAAGAGTGAATTGGGCTGGCCACAGCCTCCCTCATATTGAGAAACCCAATTGGTAATACTCAGCTAGCATACAGATTAGTAATGTGTGAGTGTCTGCATGTGTGTGCATGCTTCCGTGTTTATATATTACCAGTGTATGTGCGTACCTTTGTATATATGAGTAAAAATATATATGAAGTAAAAAATCAAAATCTAATAACTCAAAATCCAAAGACTTGAACACCCCAAGGGAACACTGAAGTCTCAGCAGAACCCTTGATGCTTGGGAAAGTAGAAATATAGGGAAGGTTTGCATAATTCCCTGTGTTCACTTCTAGCTCACTGAATGTGACTTTCTGCTGAGCCTAAGCATACAGCAATGAATAACAACAATAGTAACAACATGAGGGGTCCCTGCTTTCATAGAGCTTGCATTCTAGTAAGTGGGGCAAAAAGCAAGCAAAGAAATCTAAGTTATATATGGTGGTATAAATGCTATGAGGAGAGGAAATAAAGCACAATGAGGGAGAAGATGATGGAGTGCATTTTAGAAATGGGAATTGATAGAATCTGGGATTTGCTTGACAAAAAGTTGAAGGAGAAGCAGATGCAAAGACCTGAGATTCAGGTGCTTGTTGAATTCAAGGGACATGAAAAAGAACAAATTAGGGAAGGTCAAGTTATATAAAGCCTTTAAGCCATGGTAAGAAGTTTGGATTTTATTCTGGTTACAATGAAAAAGCCATCAAGCGCTATTTAGCAAGGGAGTGACTGGTCTGAATTAGGAAAACCCCCCTGGCTGTTCTATGGAGGGTGGAGTATGGTGTGTGCTAGAAGAGACAGAAGATACATAGATGGCTGTTACTGCAACCCAGGGAGGAAACATAGCAATGTGGATTAGAGTAGAAGTGATGGGAATTGTAAGTAGATGAGTGTGGGATATATTTTGGAGGTAGAGTCAACAGGATTTATTGATGAATTGTACATTGAGTATGCGAGGTGAGTAACTGAGGATAACTTTATTAGTCAAGATAAGCTAGGCTGTGTTGTGGCAACAAACTGTTCCAAAATCTCAGAGGCTTAACACAAAAGAGGTTTATTTCTCAGTAATTTGTATATCCCTGTGTTTTGGCTGGTGGCTTTGCTTTGTTTATTATTGTTCTTACTCTAGGACATGGGATGGCAGGGTAACCACTAACTGGAACATTGCTGGTTGACATTGAAAAGGGATAAATAAAATTTAAAGGGTTTCACCCTGGGAGTGATTAAGCATTTGGCCTCGACATGACACATAACACTTCTGCTCAAACTAATTGGCCAGAAGTAATCATATGGCTCCATCCTGCACAAGGGGCCGATAAATACAATCCTGTCTTGTGCCAGGAGACAAAGGACTAGAGCCTACTCAGACAGCAACACCAATGACTCTATAGTATCTTCCTGGTTTGAATAACTGTTAATGGCATTATCCAAGTGCAGATATTTGAAAGGAATGAGCTGGGGGGATGTGAAATCCATATTTCTTTTTTAGCCTTTTTTAGTTTAAAAGCCTATTGAGTGGAGATGTCAAGAAGACACTTGGAGATATGATTCTTAAGATCGGAGAAAATCTAGGGGTAGAGAAATAAATTTGAGCATCCACAACATGAATATGACACTTAAAGTATCAGGACTTATAGGTACCTGTTGAGAACCCTCAAGTTCTATCTTTGGATTCCTATAAAGAAGGAATTCCTATAGAGAAGGAATCCAAAGACAGAACATGAGGGCTCTCAACAGGTAGAGATCTTACAGAGAGAAAACCAACAAAGGAAATAAAAAGAGAGAGGTTCTCATGGTAGATAGAAACACAAGAGAGTATTGAATCTTAAAAGGCCTCAAGAAGTAAGTATTGCAAGAAAAAGGGAATGCTGAGAGGTCAAGGAAAATGAGATTTAATTATTGGATCTGGCAAGCTATTGACCATTTTACTGGTTTGGTATAAAGAAGAGGCTAATTTAAAGGGGGCTGAGAAGAGAATGGTAAGTGTGGAATTGATGAAAATGGTCATAGACAACTTTTGGAAGAGTTTTGCTGTAATCATAGCAGTAAAGTGGGGTCAGTAGTGAAAAGGGACATGGTGTCAAGAAGATAGGTGGTCAGGAAAGGGAGCAGGTTTGTGGGCCAGATGATGGTTTTGTCTTTTGAAATATGCTGACCTGATAAAAAGGTATTCAAATGAAAAGCATTCAGATATTAGTTGGAGATATAAGTCAGACATAGAGAAAAACCAGTGCCAGCATAAACATGGAGGAGCCCTCTTCATAGAGAAAAGAGAACAGGGAACACAGATGGGCTCTGATAGGAAAAGTATAGAGAAAAAAGATTGAGCGCTCACATTAATAAAATCAGGAGAAAAAAGCAGATTATGTCCTAGAAATCAAGGAAAGAAAGTTTAAATACCTTTGCAAGAGGTTTTTCTTCACTTTCTATGTTCCTGGAAATATGTAGTCTATATTCTGTACTCTCTGGCCAAATTTGAAGGGGATAGTACTGTAGCTGATTAAATATATAATCTAAGAACTGTGGAATAAAGATAGGATTAAAGGTTTTTTAAATCTCAAATCAGTGGGGTTGATGCTCTTTGTGTTTCTGTTCTTTTTGTTATTGTTTTCTCTTGTTATTTTGAAATTTCTCTAAAAACTACTTAAAAGTATAGTTAGTGCCATACTCATCGTTGTATTTTTCTTCTTTTTTACCTCCTCCTCCTCCTTCATCACCATCTTCACTAATGATTATCACTAGCAAAATAATCATCACCATCAGACTTCATTAAATTAACTATTTTGGTATTTTAATAATTCAGAGCTATTTTTCATAATTTGGTTAGAACTACTGAGGGGCATTCATTTTAGTATAATAGAACATTTTTATAGCACTTCTTGTTATTTGAGTACTTATTAAATGCTTACTTTAAACATGGGCATAATTTCTGCCCTAAGTCCTTTTCAGTTAAATTTCCTAGGAAAGATACAAGAGTTCCAGGATGGAAAAGAAGTGCTCAGAGGGAATACAAGAGATTAAGACCACAAATATATGGTATCACTAGAATAATTTGGCAGAGGTTTATTTCTATTTAGGTTAGTTGGCTATAATAAACATATGTAGATAAATAGTATAGGAATATAGTACAGGGTAAAATGGTGACTCAATATCTTAATATCAAATGAAAAATGGGCTGCTTCCTCCTTCTAGGCTGGAATAATGTACTATTATTGACACCCCTTCTCTGGAGTATAATTTGGCTTAGTTCTGGTGGTCTGTTGAGTGGCTTGGTCTCACTCTCTTTCTCTCTCTCTCTCTCTCTCAACCTCTCTCCCCTCTCCCCCTTCCTCCTCTTTCTCTCTGCCCTTCCTTCTGGCTGTCCATCCTTCTCTCCCTCCTCCGCTCCTCCCCACTATCTCTCACTTCTCCAACTCAGTTCTTTCTATCAGTGTCTTGACATCTAACTAGTTACCCTAGAGACCTCAAAGCAATTATTCTTTCCTTAAACATTCTTTCAAAACCCAGTCGTTCCTTAGGCATATTGACTTGAATCATGTCTATCTTTGCCATTGCTACCTTCTTAGTTCTAATATTCATCATTATTTTCTGGGTTACCTCCATGGCATCCTAACTTGTGCCTGCCTCTTTTGTTTTATTCCACTCCAATGATCCCTCCTATTCACATGCCTCTCCTCCAACCTTCTCCCATCTTAGTTATTGTGCTTAAGAAAATTATGGATCATAGACCAAGTATAGGATAGCAGTGTGAGGAAGTAGATTGAAGGAGGGAGACATAGGAGTTGGAGTTAGAACTAGTTCGGAAGTTAGATTGTACTTGTCAATGAGAGACTTAATCCAGATTCCATCTCTCTAGGACAGAATAGACCATTTCTATCTACATGGAGTATCCCTTACATGATATCCATATTTCTCTCTTAACATCATTGTACACATATGTTTACATGTGTAACACTTCTACTAAATTGTAAGCTCCTTAAGGTCAGAGACCATGTCCTAACATTCAGTAAGCTCTCCATGGTTGTTTGTTGAGTAAACAAATAAAATATGGTCTTAAATAGAACCAGTGTCAGAAGGAATAGGGTGGAGAAAATGAATATAAAAAAGATTGGATATGGAATTAAATGGACTTAGTAAAATATTAATTCTGGGACAATGAAGAGAGAAGGTTCAGATATATCTACACAAATTTGAGCTTAGGTGACCATTAACAGAAATAAGGAAGTTGGGAGGAGGAACCGATGAGTTTGCTTTTAGGCAGGTTGATTTTAAAGTTCTGTAGAGAATTTTAATTTTAGGTGGATGAATTGTTCCAGCAGACAATTCAGATTTGAAGCCTGAAGCTTTGGAGGGAGTTTTGGTCTAGAAGTAAAGATGTGTTAGTGAGTGAAATTACCAAGACACCGCAGTGAAAACAGGAAAGAGAGCCTTCATCAGATGCGTGGGGGAAGCCTCTTTTTAAGAAATTTGGAAAAGGAGCTGACAGAAAATGAGTCTGAAAATGAGAGGCAGAAATGAGTCATCAAAGAGTTACTTGGAAAGTGTACAGTCAGGAAACCCAGGAAAAGAGGATGTTGAGGAAGGAGTGAGAGAAATGCCAGCTATTGCACAGATATTGCATATTATGAGAATGGAGGCCTATATAAATTTGAGTAGTAGAACATCAGTAATATTATTTTAGAATTATTTGCTCTTGGGTTAAATATGTTTTCTCTTAGGAAGCAACTAAGTTAAAACACGATATTTAGAGTGCTGCAGAGACAAGGTTGTAAAAATTCTCTCCTATATCATCGGTGGTTGAATAAAATTCCTTTATTGGTTTTTCTTGGAACTGTACCCTCTAGCCAAACAGCCCAGTGGAATCCAGTGATAGAAGCCAAAGAAATAAAAGCTAAGTGTCTCAATTTATCCTGTTGTCACTTTCAGCTTTCTCTGCTCATTATTAGATACCAAGATAAGCAATAGATTTAGGTTTTTTGATGGAATTCTAGTGGATGCCTTGGCTCTCTTTGTCCTGGATCTAGGGACACTCTAGTCAGATTCTCAAATTTTTTCTTTTTTCTTTTTTGCACATTCATGGCTTGAATAAGGGTAAGAGAGCCCGGGATAGATGCTAACAATCTTTCAGATTGTTATCTGAAATAGATATCTTGAGATATGCTGTTAGTATTTTCTTCAAGGCATGCCATGTTGTTAGCATTTTCTTCAAGGCAGCCCATGATTAGGCCAGAGGAGGAGGATGCCGCTATTCACTTCTAACCTCCATCCTTGAATTATGGTAAATACAGAAGATGCTTGCTGGTCAGAAGAGAGTTGACTCATTATGTCAGGTAGTAAACCAAAAATTTTCTCCCTTTATGATGAAAGAAAACGCAGATAAAAGCATGACCAATAAACAAGCCATAAGAATGGGGAAAACAGTGATGACACGGGGTTAGTGCTATAGAAGTTCCCAGAAAGGTGTTTGAAAACTCTGGGCCTATAAATTTAATTATGTACTATTATTTACTAATATTATATACTAATATTTACTTTGTTTGGAGGTAGAAACGCTTTACTATCCACTTGTCTTTAGTGTGAACACTTTCTTAGGAAGCATTAATGAAACACCTAATACTACCTGCTTCCATGGCAGTCCAAAATTAAGCTCTAAAGATTGAGGAGTCAGAGGTAAAGGTCGGTAGGTTTTTCTGTGGTCTTGACTTCTTCTCAAGATATCTATTTGATTTCCAGTAATAGGAAGTGGCTCCCAATTACATCTATTCCCAGGGTCCCTCCCTATTCTCTTGTCATCTTGATTTCAGTTTGGCCTGATTAGATGGTACTAAGTTTTCTATATGGTAATTTATATTACAAGAAAAATTGGTAAATGGTGGGATACTGCTTCAAATCTGCAGCAATATAGGTAGGTGTCTTTGGTGAGGTTTTGTTTGCAATTATAGGATTCCCTAGATGGGGACTCTTTCATGAAAAATCATAACAGCAAGTGGTTGAATAAAGGTTATTTCTAGACTGTTTTCTCCAGACTAATTAGAGTAGTACAAGGGCCAACCATACAGCCTCATAGTTTCAAGGGTGCTTTGGGAGTCAGATGGACTTGAGTTTAAATCTTGCCTCTGCCACATAAAAGCTTTGTGAGCTTGGACAAGTCATTTACTTCTCTCAGCCTCAGTTTTCTCATCTGTAAAATGAGATAATTATGGCATCTTATAGAATTGTTGCGATAATTTCAGATAGTCTAAATATAAAGCATTTGGCAGGCCAGGCGCAGTGGCTCACGCCTGTAATCCCAGCACTTTGGGAGGCCGAGGTGGGTGGATCATGTGAGGTCATGAGTTCAAGACGAGCCTGGCCAACATAGTGAAATCCCGTCTCTACTAATAATACAAATATTAGCTGAGTGTGTGGTGGCACACGTCTGCAGTCCCAGCTACTCAGGAGGCTGAGGCAGGAGAATTCCTTGAACTCAGGAGGTGGGGGTTGCAGTGAGCCGAGATCATGCCACTGCATTCCAGCCCAGGCAACAGAGCGAGACTCCATCTCAAAAACAAAACAAAACAAAACAAACAAACAAAAATAAAGAAATAAAGCATTTGGCACAGTTCTTGGCACTTAGTATCTAGCCTTCATTATTAGTCTTAGATGGAAAACTGGATGCCTCAATAGACCTGGCCAGGACAGCATTCCCACAGTCTCCATCAAGTCAGCAAGCTTTATCAGCTTTATCTCTGATATTTCTTTCTAGACAGTTCCTCTCCTTTTTCATCATTACCACTACTGCTGTAGACCTGGGCACTACCTTCTCTTAGTTGGATTTTTTGGTAATACTTATACACGGTTGCCATGTAGTTCTCATAAAACTTGTTTTGTTTTGTTTTGTTTTTTCCCCCACTGCTCAAATACCTGCTCTAGATCCCTGGTCCTCAGCTTTGTACTTAAGACTATGATTTGGTATGAGCCAGTTTTATCAATTTAATCATCTATTTTTTATTTTCTTCACGCATTTCTCCCCAAACACACATATCATCCCCAAGCCAATAATAATTCCTTTCAAAGTACTTTTTGTACTTTTGGTCTTATGTATGTCATGTTGCAATAGCTTTTCAAGTTGATTTTCGTGTGTGTGTGTGTGTGTGTGTGTGTGTGTGTGTGTGTGTGTGTGTGTGTGTGTGTTCTCTTGCTTTCTTTTAGTTCATTCCCTATGTGACCACCAGATTAATCTTTTATATAATACCAACCTGACCTCGTCACTCTTCTGAACCAGAGCGATTTCCTAGTGCCTTTAGGATCAAGTTAAAACTTCTACATCAGCTGGATGCAGGAGGTCTTCTGGGGCATTTTTCAGCCTCAACTCAACTGTCACTCCCACTATACTGTGCAATTCAACTATATTGATTGCTCTTGAGACTACACATATGCCAAGATTTCTCACTCTCATTTCTTGCCATCCGTGCTATTTCTTTTACCTTCCTATTTCAAAACCTGGCTAATGCCACTCATTTATCAGGTCTCACCTTAGTACTCCATCCTTTCAAAGGCATTTCTGATTGCCCCTTCCCTCTGCCCACAGCTTGAATTAAGAGCTCATCCCTGATTTCATGGTAGTTTGGAAATATCTTTTTAGAAACCTTTATCATGCAAATTGCTCATTTTGATTTTCTGACTGTCTCCTCTTCTAAAAGAAGGCTTACTTGCAGTATTTTTTAATCTTTGTATTTCCATAGAGCATGACACTCAATAAATATATGAGTGTGTGAAAAACTGAATAAATGTGTGTATGTCTGTTTCTTTTAATAGAGTAAGTTATTTTAGGGAAGGGCCAATGACTCTTTTCTGCTTGTAGGCTCCACGTTTCCTAGCATGGTCCTTTGTATATAATAGTTGATCAATAAGTAGTGTCTGAATAATGATATACATGTCTATCTTCCCCAGATCATTCTAAGTTTTTCAGCAAAAAGATTGTGTCATAAGAATTAGATAGCCTCCAGCACAACGAATTACAAATACTTCATACTCTAATGCACATGTTTAATTTTTGCTTGGAGTTGAACTTAAGTTATGGTGCCTTATGAGAGAGTCAGGCAGCTTCTCTGTACTACATAAGCATGTACTCGATGAAGCTTGGGGTCAAAAACCTGGAAACTAAGTTTAGTTGGAAATTTAAATGCTGGAGACTGGATGCATCCTAGGAGTGGATTACTAGTATTGATACTCCTAGACAATTTTCTATTCTTATTTGGTTCTTTCTCCATAAACCTGACCAGTCCATGTATAGCAAGCCTCAAAGGATGCAAGCCTTGTTCTGGTGTTTTTTATTGCAAGTCAAAGTCTATCAGGAGCTGAGGAATGAGCAGCAGTGGGAGGGTGTATTAATTTCCTGTGGTTGCTGTAACAAATTATCACAAATTTGGTAGCTTAAAAATAGTAATTTTATTTTCTCATAATTCTGGAGGTCATAAGTCAGTTTCACTGGGCTAAAATAAAGGTGTTAACAGGGCTGCATGTCCTCTTAAATGTCAAGGAGAGAATCTGTTGCTTGACTCTTCCCATTTCTGATAGCTGCCCATATTCCTTGGCTTGTGGCCCTTAATCTCTATCTCCATATTCACATCATCTCTCTGTCTGTATGTGTGATCTTCCTTTGCCTTCATCTTATAAGGATTCAAGTGCTTGCATTTAGGGTCCACCTGGAGAATACAGGATAGTCTCACCTCAAGATCCCTAACTTAATCACATCTGTAAAGACTCCTTTCCAAATAAAATAATATTTACAGTTTCCATGGATTAGGATATATCTTTGGGGAACATTATTCAGCCTACTACAGAGATACCTTTCTCTTTTTGTAGATTCAAAGTGCTTGATCTTCTAAGAACATTGTTTGCTTACAGACATATTTCAGGAGTAAATGACTTCCAAACTGATGGTCCGTTGAAAAAAAGCCTGGGGCTGCTGTCAGGAAAGGTCTAATTTAGGTCAGCCTAATGCCACTGAACAGATGTATATGGCAACATTCCCAACTCCCATTAGGAAAATAAGCCATTAATTAATACTTATTGAGGAGCTGATAAGTAACTGGAAGAGCTGGTCTGAGTTCTGGACAAGGAATCAGTGACAATCAGTTTCCACTGTCTGGCTGTTGTGGGTAGATTGTGGTCCATCTCTGTAGGATAAAGTGTGCACAGTTGGCTTGGCACTCACTCTTCTGTGTCCAGCAGTAGCTCTTGCCATCTGTCTTATCAAGAGAATAAAAATGGGTCTAAGTTGTCACTGGGAGATTACTGAGTATCAGTGGACACTATGAGCTCGAGTGGGCAACCCCATGCAAGGTTAGAGCAGGGACTTCACCAATGTTTGAATTAGGGAACTTCAGTACCTAAAATTGGGATGCAGATGTTTCTTGACTTCTTCATGTCTTTTCCACCTCTTTCATATAATCTAAGGGGGATATGGACCTTGGAGGAGTCTTCCTCAAGGCTTTGGCAGGTGCTCCTAAACATGCTTCATCCATGCCTACTTGAGTGTAATCTGCTATCTTAAGCCACAGGCAGGAGAGATCAATTTTTCTAGTAACTTCTTTTATAATCCAGCTAGCTGAAGAAGTGTGATCAAAGAATCTTAAAAGTGTGATCTTGAAGAATCTTAGTTTCTCTTCTGTTGTAGAGAGAGGATAGTAATAGTTGCTAAGCCTATAGGCTCTGAAGCCAGACTTATCTCTATTTCCATGCTGGCTCCACTACTTAATAGCTGTGTGAGCTTAGGTAGATAATAAAATCTCAGATTCCCAGTTTTCTCAATTGTAAAATGAGGATAATAGTAACCAATATATGCAAGGTGCCAGGAGATATTCTAAGCATGTTACATGTATTTAACCTTCTTATTCTCACATCAACCCTATGAGGTAAATGTACTATTGTTATCCTACTTCAAAGATGGGAAAACTGAGGTACAGAGAGATTAAGTAACCTGTCTAGATCACACAGTAACAAGTCGCAGAACAAGAATTTCAACTCAGAGTATATGCTTCAACTCAGAATATACTTCAACTCAGCATATTTGCTGTTAACTATATTTTATGCTGCTTCTTGTGCCTCAGATTGTGAGGATCAAATAGGGTGGCCATCTATTCCAGGTCACCTTGGAAAGTTCTGGGTAATATCTCCTGTCCAGGTGAATTATTAATAGTGCCTCCTTCTTTTATTCTCAAAGGTATTGTCACATCTTGGTTTGAATATATTTCACATTTGGATTAAATAGTCTTTACATGTGAAACACTAAGAACAATGACCAACCCATAGGAAGCTCTCTGTTAATATTAGCTATCACTGTTTCTACTACTGCCATCACCACCACTGTCACCATCACCCACATTCATCCCAAGTCTGGGACCCTTAGGGTTAGGGGATTAACCCAAGTTCTGCAAAGGCATGTCATGGGAGCCACTGTTCCCAGTTCCCACACCCGTAGCAGACATTGCTCGTTGATCACAGTACAACAGTCTTCCTTACTTAGTGTCATAGACAACCATTCGTGATAGATCACGTTTGAGATGTGAAATTAAAATTATTTATCACACCTAGTTTTATTTAATCTCAGAATACAAAATCCCAGCGTATGGAGAATCTGAATTTAGTCTGAGCTTGTGGTTTTATATGAAAACTTATTTGATTCCTAGAAGTGATAATGAATTTGGGACCTCTTTAGACATCCTATGTCCCTTTTCTCCAATATTTCTTTCTACCTATTTCTCTATTATTTCTACCTCTTCTTTTATATAAATATAAAAGAAATTTAATTCATCAGTTTCCTATTCTCTGCCTATAATTTTATATGTTATAATAAAAGACTATTGAAATACTACCAAAGTGGACACAATATAAATAAGGCAACGGAGTGAGTCATCATAGGAATTACAGTTGGCACCCAAGATCAAAGGCTTAGAAAATCTATCTTTAAATGTGATTTGTGTAACTGGTAGTGAAATTCATTTCAGGTTGATTTTGCATGGCATAAGGGACATCTAGTGGTGATCTAGGTCTCTGCAGATTTACTAAAGGTAATGCAAACTCATAGGTAAAAGTATTAGGGCCTATATACCATCACCTTGAAAGGGAGTCCCAAGAAAGGAGGGGACCTTTTGTTGCATGACTACTTTTAAGCTAGCAAAGTGTAAAGAAACCTTTTTTGGAAAAAAATTAATTCGAGTACCAGCATTTCTGTCTATATTATTGTCAGTTTGCACCCAACTCTTATTTGCTGCCTCCTGTACCAGGTTGGAAATCATTCTGTTATCAGCTACCTGCCAACCTGACATATTCTTCCTATCACTTTCCCCACCTCTTTTGCTGATTGCAGAGGGGCTCTTTGGAGCACTTTGAAAAGCCACCTGATTAAAGCCTTCATTAGGCTAGAAGCAGAAGTGCTTCACAGGCCAGGCAAGAAATACTTTGTAATTGCTTCTGACGGGCAGATCTCCTTTGGCGGTTGTTGAGCCATCAGGAAGCCGTACAGCACTGGTCCACGTGTATTTTGTATAAATTAGTGGGCTTGACATTACAAGAGGTTGCCCCTATACGCAGTCATCTTCTTAGCCCCAGAGTTCTGGAACTTACCCATTAGCCTGCACCTCTTTATAGAACCCGTCTTACGCATGGTTCTGAACTAACTGCTTCTGTCACCTGGATTGCTTACAATACCTGCTTGCCTCATGTGCTACTATTGTTTCCAACCAACTATGCTAGACTTCTTAAAGGTTCTATTTCATTGAATGCTTTTACAGTATTTTCTATGACTCTTTTGTCTTTGAGCCTCTCAGATTAGCTTTTTCTACAAAAGCTGTTTGGCATGCCTATTGTCATCTATTTTCTTTCAGAGTAGCTGCTAACAGCCAGAAGCTGCTAGTTATGGCCAAAGGCCTCATTGTTGGAGAGTCGTTCTTGTTCTTTGACTCTAGGTAGAGAGGATGAAGGCTCTGAGATACTGTCTCAAAACATTCATGTGTTTTCTATGACAAGTCAAAGCTACATTGTCATATTAGAGGTGTCCAGTAGCCCCTTAGCGTGCCTCAGAGTGGGAGGTAGTGTTGGCACCGAACTTTGTCAGCCAGTCTCTTAGAGGATCTTACTGGAGTTTGTGATTGAGCTTTTACTTCTTCTGTTAGTGTTCTGCTGAGACATATACACTAATGATAGCTGCCACTCTGGGGTGCAGAACTTTCCATATAGATTGCCTTAAAAATAAAAGCAAATTTTCTATGCATACATGCCGGGGAAAACTCTACTAAATATTCAGTGGTTCCAAGAAATGCCTTTTAACCATTTGTAATACTTTAGCTTTCTACCTTTTCATCTCATTACTTATTTTCAGGCAGAATAGATATAGAGGCTTCTTTCTGCATTATAGTCTTCACAGACTTAAAGGCATCAGGAAGTAGCCCTTGTGATTTTCCTTGCTCTTCTTCTTCCCATTTTTCCACCTCCTCCTGTAAGCACGTACTTTGTGTCAGGCATTGAGAGATACAGAGAGAAAAGGCATAGGTTTCTCCCCTTGAGAGGCTCCTGGTCTACTGGAAGAAACAGACAATTCCAGCACAATGTGATAGATACAATGATAGCAGTTAGAACATGAAGCCATGGGGGCGGAGAGGAAGAAATCAGCTGTGGGTGGGAATGGAGTGGGTAGAAATATTGAAGAAGGTTTCTAAAAAGAGGTGATGCCTAAACTGTGCTTCAAGTGGCGAATAGTAGTTATCCAGGTAGAGAATCCAGGCAAGATTTATCCCTGGAATGATAAATTGGAGGACCTGCTGAACTTTTGTCAAGGCTGGTAACAATGAAGTGAGGACTAGATCAGGAAGAGGTTTTTATATAATGCTTCAAAGTTTGCATTTAATTCTGAAGTTGATAAAGAACCATCGAACAATTTTAAGCAGAGAATGACATGTTATTCCCAGACATGTTAATAGTGAGACGATTAGAGTCATTTCTAGTCCTCGGAATAAAAATAACAGTAGTTTCCTAGTGGTTCAGCAAGGTATGTTTTAAATTTCGTCATCTTTTTAATCAAACTGCTTAAGGCTTCCTTTCTACTCTAATAGTTACCTTTTTCCCCTAATTGCATAATGTATATATTTTTAGAGCTTTTCATAATCAGGTACCACCTATTCACCTCATCTTAATTCCTCTGCTTTGTGACATGTAACTTTTACTCTACTGGAGTTGGTGCCCTCATCAAATATTCTAAAACAGAAGGAAATGTAGGCATTCTCTGGGTAGGTTTGTTTAGTGCCTAAGAAAATGCAGGAAATGAGAGTGTGTATTTATTGAGCTTCTACTATGTGCCACACACTTTGCTAAATACAGGGAATGCATTGGTTATCACATCAGAAACACACAACCCATGTGTTTATGACGCTTAGTTTAGAGGATCGAAACAGTGCCATCCCTAGCAACCAGAGGGCACAGAAGTACAGTTTCAATCAAGTTTATGGTCATAGGTCCTTGTACATTAATTGACATGACAAATATATCTCACTCCAATTTTGATATGAAAAAATATTCCCCCCTTAATTGTCCTTCAACTTTCTCTGTGCATGTTGTTGGCAGCAATTGTGTCTCATGGTCTATCCTCCATGGTCTAGAGCTAAAGATACAGTGGTTATTTAGTACATTTACATGGGATTTTGTTTCTAATATTCTAATATAGCTAATCAATTCATATTAACTTGGCTTTTGCGTTAGAGGATAAGAAAAGTGGAGAATAGGTTCATCTCAATTTCTGGCTCTCAGTGACTGGTAGTTAACCTCCTGGAGCACTACCTTGAGAGGATTCTGAGGCTTCATCTGGGTTGAGTGGAAGTAGAATAGAAATATGTCTATTGATGATGAATGCCATCTGCTGGGAAAGGAGGGTAGAGGCACATATTTGCCAACATGGCTCTAAGAAATGGGAGAGCTGCTATCCAGTTGTGTCTGAAAAGATTAACTGGCAGCTAGAAACTTTTAAAACTACCCATTGACTAGTTCTATCTCGGAGAACTACACCCCCTACTTGCCAGTTCATGTCTTATGTCTCTGCCTGGGTCTGTCTATGTCAAGTTCTTATTTGTTAACTTAGTAGAAGCTTAGTGGACTCTGTGAAAATGATAAAGCTTGAAAGAGCAAGCCTGTGATAGACTGTGATAGACTGAGCCTTTATAGTATCCTTAATGCTCTAGAAACTTGATTGACTGGAAACTTTTTCTTTTTCTTTCTTTCTTTCTTTTTTTTTGAGATGGAGTCTCACTCTGTCACCCAGGCTGGAATGCAGTGGCACAATCTCTGCCACCTGGGTTCAAGCGATTCTCCTGCTTCAGCCTCCCGAGTAGCTGGGATTACAGGCATCCACCACCATGCCTGGCTAATTTTTGTACTTTTAGTAGGGACGGGGTTTCACCATCTTGGCCAGCCTGGTCTTGAACTCCTGACCTTGTTATCCACCTGCCTCGGCCTCCCAAAGTGTTGGGATTACAGGCGTGAGCCACTGCGCCCGGCCTGGAAATTTTTTCTATAAGATACACAAATACATTGCAGCCTGTTCCTGATCAGCCATTTAAGTGGAATAAAAGTCCTAAGAAAGTTCTTCTTGAGAAGAATAAAATTGAGACCTCCACTCTGAACAGGCATGGAGCATTCAATAAGGCAAAGGGTCAGAAATCTTGCTTAACTTCTTACTGTTCACATCTGTAACTGGGCATAAACCTATAGGATCATTTTCCTTTCACAAAGAATCCATCAAATAAATACTTGTTAAAGCCTACGCTTAACTTGAGCACCGGTAGTAATGACTCGCATTATCAGCGGGGCTTTTGGGCTTGCACTCATGGCTCTGTGATTCATGAGGGCAGAAAAACTGACTGGCTTACAGCTGTCTCTCTTTTTCTGGCTGGCCTGCCTGCATGCCTAGATAACTGAATGGCTTTTTTCAGAATGAGGTATGGTCTAAGGATTTTGCTACTTCAACGTCAGTTTCCTGGATCTTTTCTTCTACTCCAGCTTGCCATATGTCCCTTTTATATTTTCTTGGCCACTCTCTTACAAATAGGGCCATAGATCAGAGATGGTGGCCCCATCTGGTGAAATCTAGCTTTCAGATACGCTTTGTTTGACCCATAGAGTGTTGGATCACATAGAATTTTTAAAAATTAATTAACTGTCAACATTGTACTATTGATTTCAACTTTATCTGGAGTCTTTTTAACTTTTATTTTGAGCTCTAGAACTTGGACATTTTCTGGCTCCTGCCTTGCAAGTCTGAACCTCAGTTCCAGTTTTCTATTTTTGGTGCTTAGTGTTTTTGTCTTTGGCAGATCCTGACCACTGTTAACAAAATATAAAGCATGAAAATGGTGGCATCCATGCGATGCAGCAGTTGGGACTATGAGCCCCAGGTTGGATGTCAGCTGTATCTCAGCAGGTGGAGTTAGTTTACTGACCCCTGTTAGCAAGACCAGAGATGCAGATGTGACTCTGGTCATGCCAGATATTAGGTTTTTCAGACTTTGGGATCTAAGAGGACCATCTGCTGCCACATTTGTGCTTGGACTTCACTGTTAGAGTTTGATCAATGGCATCCTGTGATGAAAAATGATGTTCATGAATATGAATCTAAATCTGAGCAAGTGTTTGGTGTGTGTGCATCTCATAAATGTCACATTAGGCAATTAAGTATATACAATTTATAAATAAGTATATGTAATTTATAAATACATATATGAAGTTCATAAATAAATAATATATAACTTATAAATAAATATATAAAGTTATGATTTTATAGTTTATTAAATCCAGAGTTTTTCTTTTGTTATAGCCCTGCCTCTTAGGCTTGACAATTGGCTTAGAAGTTATCCTCAAGAGAGAATCTTTCTTTTTCTTTTCTTATTTTTTTTGAGATGGAGTCTCAGTCTGTCACCCAGGCTGGAGTGTAGTGGTGCGATATCAGCTCACTGCAACCTCCACCTCCGGAGTTCAAGTGATTCTCCCACTGCAGGATCCCGAGTAGCTGGGATTACAGGCATACCGCACCATACCTGCTAATTTCTGTATTTT